>NC_000005.10:21216911-21519941 GCF_000001405.40 Homo sapiens
TTCCGAACTCACAGAAGTTGTGATAACAATTGTCTACTGTTTTGAGTTGCTGAATTTTCCAAAATGTATTATGCAGCAGTGGATAACCTATACATATTTCTGAACATAGTTTCTTCTCTCTGTTCTGACAAATTGTTTATCAGTACTTGATTTCATGCCTATCATTTTCACATGAACCTCCCTAATTCTTTTACTCAGGCTCAACTCAAGCCTTTGCAGTATTTCATATGTGTGGTCCTTAAGACAGAAATCATCGTAAACTCTTCTTCCTTCTAAATATATAATTCTTGTAACAAAGAAAGCACTCTTAAATGTTTAACGAGTAATGGGGCTCTCGGATGCTTAAAAGTGTAGAACAGACACTTCTGACATTATGAGCCAGAAACATCCTTATTGTTGGGGGCTGTCCTATGTGCTACAGGATTTAGCAGAATCCCTAGTCTCCACTCACTAGATCTCAGTAGCACACCCACATTGGTGAAAAGGAATCATGTATCTGGATATTGTTAAATGCTCACTTTGGTAACAAAAGAGCACCTAATGTAGAGCCACTGGTATAAAGGGATCCTGAGTGAGGAATGCCACTTTATGAGAAACTAAAAAGAAAGAGGTAGCTAGAGCTGCACTTTATTCTAAGTGAAGTGTGAAACAGAAAAAAAAGAAAAGCAAACAACAGATAGGGAACAATAGGATAGAAAAATAGGAAAGAATAATTCCAAAGGAACAAATTGAAGGCCTTTGAAGTTAGAAGCAAGGAACTCACAATTGCTAGCAGAAAGGCCAGGAACTCAAATAAGTGGGCTTAAATCTTTCTGATTGTTCCTGTATATCATATTAAGAAGAAAATTCAGATATCTTAAAAATATTTATTTTGAATATTTTAATTTATAATTTATAATTCACTTAAAATAACAAATTCATAACATGTAAATAAATATGATTATGAAACTTTTTTCAAATAATCTATAAATGTAAAAGAGGCATTATTTTACAGTTTTTTTCAACTCTCCTTAAACTTTAACTGATGTATCCAGTTGTCTTATTTTGTATGGGAAAAGTGGTAGCTCATGGTATATGGATTTATAATCCTATACGGGCAGTGGTTAATAATATTGTATCTTGTTCATCAAAGGCTTTTAAAAAAGGAAGGCTAGAAGATTGATAACAAGGAGTTTTGGGTTCTAGATATGTGAAGTAATTCACACAATATGGATGGTCTGTGGAGACATTTATATCCCATGTGAATGCTCAACATAGAGAATGTAGAGGAGGATTTCACAAATCTAATGGAGAACTAGACCTATTCTGTGGCTTTTCATCAGTGTTTTCAACAGACATTGTGGTACTCCTTCGATGGGTTCATTTTTTTGTGTAGCCATTGTATTAGTCAGTTATCATGCTGCTAATGAAGACATACTCAAGACTGGGTAATTTATAAAGAAAAAGAGGTTTAATGGACTCACAGTTCTACATGGCTGGGAAGGCCTCACCATCATGGTGGAAGGCAAAGGAGGAGAAAAGCATGTCTTACATGGCAGCAGGCAGGAGGACGTGTGCAGGGGAACTCCCATTTATAAAACTGTAAGATCTCATGGGATTTATTCACTATCCCAAGAATAGCACAGGAAAAACCTGCCCCCATGATTCAACTACTTCCCACCAAGTCCCTCCCATGACACAAGGGAAACTGTGGGAGCTACAATTCAAGGTGAGGTTGGAGTGGAGACACAGCCACACAACATCAGCCATAATGAGGTCAAAATGTGATTCTTGTTTCACACAGCCTGATCTGGCTAATTCCACTGCTTAGAATCCAATCTATTGCCAATGGTAAACCCCAATATAAAACCATTATTTGATGAATAATTGATTACATTGAACTTTTCTAACATGGAGGAAGCTTTATTTATCTTTCTACTGATGTATTTACCTTTTCTCACTACCTTTCTTCTGACAGCATTATATGTCTGCTAAAATACATAATTACAAATATTTAGTTTAAAGATCTTAACTGGCTTTCCTTTGAAACTCTAAAATCAGTCAACACCTCATTCTATAAAGTAGTGAGTGTTCTGATGAACTGAGCAGAGACTGGCTTTATAGATAGAAAATATTTGACAAAAGCGGAAACAAAGAATAAAAAGTGAATTGGTTGTTTCAGTTACTTTTTTTTTGTAAAGCTTAAATAAAGCAGGAGGGACTTCCTTTTCATGCTCGCTAAACTGTCCTGTTTAGGGATTTGGCTATTTCTTCTCTTGATTCCTTGGAAGGTCAGATAAACAGCCTCATTTTGGCTTGTTGGTGTGGAACTCCATTATGAGGAACTCCATTTTGCTTTCGTCTGCAGGGTCTAGTGCAGGAGCTCAGTCCAAACCAAGAGCCTCCTGTAAATTTAATTTAACAATTCTTGTATTTTCCAAAATGCCTTATTCACCATCACAGCATGCCATCAATAAAGCTTTCATGACTGAAGTAGTTTGTCAGTGGCTGACTCACCTGGTATTAAGTTACTCCATACCATCTTATGCTGAGGAGGTGACATCCCACAGCAATGGAAATGTTGCTACGCAAACCTCTGCTCTAAGACTTGACCAAACTTTAACTTGGCTTCTAGCAGCCTAAGGCTGTGTCCCTGGGGAGACTCCTTTTGAGTTTCTGTCTAGTAAAGCTTAGGGCTGTGTAAACAACTATTTATTCTAGCTAGCACTTGATATAGGCCCTTTTTTTAGAAAATAGACCATTTACTAAAAGGGGCTTACAATTGTGAATCCTTCCTGTGTCCATTTGAGATTTATGTGTACTTCCTACAGCTCAGGAGTGCTGTCTCAAGGACCTGAAAACCATTCCTTTGAAGTGTAATTGTCAGAAAGGACAGTGTTTTCCACTCTTTATGCCCGGAAAAAGTCCTAACTTTGATCATTGCCAGGTAGCAGACACTGCTGGCCTCACTGCGTTTATGCTAACCAACCCTTAGTAATTCTTCACTTCTCTCACTCTTCTTGAGTCCCAGATCACTCCCCGCTTTATCCTCCTTTATTTCTCTTTAAATCACCTCTGTGAAAATCGGAATGAAGCTTACCTCTTTTCCTTACTTTCACAAGTTACAGTTTTACCAGATATCCAGTTTGGGTTATCTTTGACATCCTCACCACCACCCACACCACCATGCTCACATCCTTTCCCTGAACTGGCCTCAACTGAGTGTTTGATCTGGCTCTGGCTCCCACAGTACAGTACGTATGGACCCAATGTGGACCATTGACTGCAGTATCCAACTGCTTCCTGAGGCATATCTCACTTTGGGAACTAAGAACAACATGTTTTTGCACAAAGGCAGAAAGCCCTGCCTGGCTTTTGCTACTGCCCAGATATTTCCTGCCTCCTGCCACCCAGAGTTTGATAAATATCTTAAGATAATCTTAAAAAAACAGGAAAACCTCTTTTTCTGCCCATCACGGACATTTCCCAGTCATGAAAAAATTAATAGCAAGCAAATAAAAGGCTGCTAAACATATTTGAAAGCCATTTAGAAAGTCTACCTCATTTCCAAATATCCCATCTACTAAAAAAGAAAGATATAATTGGATTTTTTTTTTTTTTAGTGATTTATGAAGAGGGCAGCATCTCATCTAAAGACTTGGAAAGATGCTTTACTGAACTAAGCAGAGGGAGTCAGCTTTAGAGGCAGAAAAGAGCTGAATAAGAAACAAGTGGATTGGGCTTTCAAAATTGGTTTTATCATAGGGTTGAAACAGAAGGGACTTCCTTATCTTCTTGGCTCAGGTAAATTGGGCCCCTTCTGATTGGTTGTTGTGAATCTCCTGTTTTATCTAAAACTGGCCTGTTTTAAAGTTCAGTTTGATTGTGTGGCATCTCGAGTTTGGTTTGGTCTGTTAGGGCCTAGTGTAAATGTTCAGTTCAAAACAATGGCCTCCTATGAATTCCATCTAATAAACCCTAATAGAACATGTAACTATCACAATATTTTCTCATTTTCCTCCAAGAAACTATTGTCCTCTCATACATTTTGAATTCCTGCTGAAGCAAAAGTGACAGTAGTTTGTTTCCTTCTGGCTGCAAGTTTAAGAATAAGCAGAATTTGCTAGTTTTGTTCCAGATTGGGTTTTGTGTTTGAAAATAACTCTGCCCTTTCATTTGTTCTGCTAGCCTCCTAGAGGGCCTCCTAAGAGTGGTTTTCTGCTCTCGTTATTCTCTGGATTGCACCCTGATGACTTCTCAGCATTGGATTACTTTCGTAAGCAATGCCCTTTTGAATTCTGTTTTAAAAACTCAAAATGATTCTGTTCTCTTAAGTTGAAACCTGACAAAATAAAGCTTTAAAAATATACACATGATTCCAGGTATGGTGGCTCATGCTTATAGTTCAAGCTACTCAGGAGGATCAGACTGAAGGATTGTTTGAGACCAGGAGTTCAAGTTCAGCCTGGACAATATAGCAAGACCCTTTCTCTAAAAAAAAACACACACACATAATGTGTGCATGTGCATGAACATATGTACATACATATATATAATGTACATATATCACATATAATTTTTACATATATGCCTACACAAATATGGTTTGCATATATATATTCATACATATATAAACATATGCATTTATATACATACATACACATATACATATCTGTGTTTATGTACAGTTCTATCTCTATAAAATTATCCATTCATAATAAATAAATGTTGAAAAAACATGTTTAAAATATAAGCCATAGACATTATTATTATTTTCTTAGAATTATCAAGCATTGTAAATGCCAAGCAAAGTTAGTATTAGTGGATATTTTATCATCCAAGCCTCAGAATAAAATTGCTTCTATTTTAAGTCTGACACATATGGTATTTGCCTTTCTGTGACGATCTTGTTCACTTTCAGCATTTGCAACACCAGATTGCCAATTTCTCTGAAATTTGAAGTGGCAAGAATAGTAATTTTGAACTAAATATAAGTCAGGGGACTGTCAATTGAAAACAGGCCTTCATTTACCTGTTTGAAAGTTCAGATGTCAATGCCATGATTTTTATTCCCTTTTTTCAGATCAGGATTAAAACTTTTTCTTTCTTGTTCTTTCTCCCCTTTTCAAATTGTAATAACACTCTTGAAGCAGAGGCAGTGATTCATGAATTTGATGGAGTGCCTCAGCAGAGAACTCTATCATTTTCAAGCTTCTAAAATACCATTTCTTTCATTAAATGCTAAAATAGCTATGTTTATTATTTTGCTTTTCTTCTCTCATTTAAAATATTAGAAGGGAGTTTTGCTTAATTTTAAATACATGTGTCATTATGCATATATATATGTATATGTGTTTGTGTATGTGTGTATGTAAACATAGGTGTGTATGTGCATTTTTTCCCAAAGAATCTACTCAAGAATAACATAGAACATTTGATATAAAATGTAAATGTCTATTTTTAGATTTCTGAGAATGAGATTTTGAATAAACTGGAAAAGCTCTTTGGTAGGATATTAAAAATACTTACTTTAGATTCTCAAACTAAAATATTCACAAGATTTTTGGTAAACTGCAGGAATCTCAAAATAACCATCTGAGAGACACAATTAACAATGAGGAAGTAGTAAGTTTGCTATGCTTTCCTAGAAAGTTTTTGAGTGTAAACATTTCCTAAAATTTTTATTATGAAAGTTTTCATACAAAGGTTGAAAACGAATGCAATGAACGTATGTATATCTTCCAGTTACACTCTATAATTTTCACATTTGTTCTGTATATACTTACTTGTGTTTTATTTATCTATATGTCATTGGTTTTTCTGTGCCATCTAAAAATAAATAATAATTTGCCACAAAATATTTCAGCATGTTGTAAGGTTAAAGAAAAAGCCTCCCACATATTTCATGAACCACATATAATACCCATGAATAACAATATTATAATATCATCTAATATTCATATAATGTTTAAATTTCCCGATACCTACACAGTTGTTTTAAACTTTTTTATTTTACTCTGCAGCTAGATCTAGTTGAGATTGAGGTAGAATTTTTCTTTCTCTTTCTTTCTTTCTTTCTTTCTTTCTTTCTTTCTTTCTTTCTTTCTTTCTCTTTCTCTTTCTCTTTCTTTCTTTTCCTTCCTTCCTTTCTTGCTTCCTTCTTCTTTCTTTCTTTCCTTCTTTCACAGGGTTTCATTGACACCCAGAATGGAACGCAATGGCATGATCATGGCTCACTATAGCCTCAACTCCTTGGGCTCACGTGAGCCCCAAACCCTGTTAGCCTCTTGACTAGCCAATTTTTAACTTTTTCTTTTTTTATTTTTGAAGAGACTGGATCACACTATGTTGCCCGGGCTGGTCTCAAACTCCTAAGCTCAAGGGATCCTTACACCTCAGTTTCCCAAAGTTCTGGAATCACAGGCATGAGCCACCACGCCCAGCCAAGGTGGAAATCTTGAAGTGAGACTTGGTGCACAAGCTGCTAGTCCTGAAAAGTAAGATACTTTAGTTGGCTCACAGGCTCATCTCCCAAGAGCTGATGTTTCCTAGAACGAAGAACTAAGCTGTTTTTCTCCCAACCTTAATATTTTAGCACAGAGACAGAGAAATTACTTGTTGATAATTTCCAAAACCTATTGAAAACAAAGAAAAATGAATCTGATATGCAGATTCAAAAACCTCCTGGTGAAAAAAAAAATTCCCCAAAGCTTTTTTAGTATACATATTTCCAATCCTACAAAAAAAGAAGGGTATAAGTATCACTCATACTCACTACATAGACTCAAAATTTTTAAATTGTTATCTTTTTATATCATCTACTTTAGCATATCTTGAGAGAAAGTATCTCTCTATATAAAACAAAACTAAGATCGTGCTTAAGAAAATTAATAATAAACCATAATACCATCTAAAGTTGAGTATAAATTCAAATTTTCTAGAGTCTGAAAAATGGATCTAAAGCTTTGTTAATTTCCTTCTAAACTAAGATCTGATCTTAGTTCTTGCATTATTTGGGTGTTTTTTCAGTTTAGCTTCTTTGTTCTAGAATAGTCCTTCGTCTTAGGTGAACTATTTACTGTAATTGAGTGTTGAAATTATCTGAGGACATCATTCTGTATTGCTATTCATATGGAAATTTATGTAAATAAATCATTTCTTCTAAGTATATTTCTAGCGCAAGTGTTTAAAATGCATGTATGAAATAACATCATTGGGACACACTAATGGGTCATTTAAGGAAGTCAAAACCAGAAAATTAATTAAATTGGTAGCAAAAGAAACATTGATTAAGATAATTACTACAAATTTTACATTGCAATTCATCATTCTTAGAAGCACTGGTTTCACTAAATGCATTCCAGCAGTTAACACTGTATTTAATGGAAGCTTATTTCATATCCTAGGTTGTCTATAAGAACATATAAAAACACTATCCAACATATAATTAATATCTTGAGGAAATGCACCATCACAATTTTTCTAAGCTATAGTGTGATGAACTGAAAGACTTTATAAAGCCATTTGGTGTAATTTCCATGCAAATTTAAAGAATTACATCTATATCATCTGATATAGTTTGGATATTTTCCCCTGCCCAAATCCCATGTTGAATGTTAGTCCCCAGTGTCTTGTGGGAGGTGCTTGTCCTATCCTGGACAGCTGTCAATAACTTCACTAAATGGTAAATTGACTGATAGCTACATCCCACTTCACCCAAACTCTACCAGCCCATCTTCTCTTTAGAAATATTCTAAAATTGCCTAGACCACTCTAGTTCCTCTAAAAGTGAATGGAATATGGAGGAGACTGGAGGGCATCAGAAAAAAAGGATGGAAAGAGTAAAAAGGCAATATCATTTGAAACTTTGGTTACTATAAAAATAATCTTAATATTATTATATGTGTTAAAAACAGTTTAATCAATAATTAACTTCCCAATAAAGAAATAACCAGAACCAGATTGTTTCTCTGGTGAGTGCCCCAAAACATTTATTTATGAAATTATACCAATCATTTACAAGCTCTTTCACAAAACAGAAGCAGAGATAAGCACTTTCTAACTTGCTCTATGAGGCCCAAATCCATCAATTTATTAAAAAAAAACCTCCATATCACAACCAAATGGGATTTATTCTAGCTATGTATAGCTGGTTCAAATGCAAAAATAAGTAATTTAATCAAGCATATCAAGAGTTGATGAAAAATATTTGACAAAAATCCATATCCATTAATGATCAAAACTCTCAGTGATCTAGGATTAGAGGGAAGTGTCCTCAACTTGATACATTAATCATCAGAAGGTTTATAACTCACATCATGCTAAATGGTGAGAAACTCATTATTTCCTTCTAAGAGTGACAAAAGGTATGTTCTGTTTTTCACGCCTATTCAACATTATTAAAAGAACTAGCAAATGCAGTAAGAAAAGAAAAGGAAAAAAGGGAAGCCGTGAGAGACTGTGTCGGGAGCAACTGTGTCGGGAGCAACAGTGCCCTCCGGCCCAGATACTGCGCTTTTCCCATGGTCTTTGCAACTGGCAGACCAGGAGATTCCCTTTGGTGCCTGGCTTGGCGGGTCCCACCCTGACAGAGCCCAGCAAGCTAAGATCCACTGGCATGAAATTCTCATTGCTAGCAGAGCAGTCTCAGGTTGACCTGGGATGCTGAAGTTTGGTGGGAGGAAGGGTGTCTGCCACTGCTGAAGCTTGAGTAGGCAGTTTTACTATCACAGAGTAAACAAAGCTGCAGGGAAGTTCTAACTGGGCGGAGCCCACAGCAGTTCAGCAAGGCCACTAGGGCCAGACTGCCTATCTAGATTTTCTCCTCTCTGGGCAGGGCATCTCTGAAAAAAAGGCATCAGCCCCGGTCAGGCACATATAGATAAAACCTCCATCTTTCTGGGACAGAGCACCTGGGGGAAGCGGTGGCTGTGGGCGCAGCTTCAGCAGACTTAAACGTCACTGCCTGACAGCTCTTAAGCGAGCAGCGGTTCTCCCAGTACAGTGTTTGAGCTCTGATAAGGGACAGGCTGCCTCCTCAAGTGGGTCCCTGACTCCTGTGTATCCTGATGGGGAGATACCCCTCAGCAGGGGCCAACAGACACCTCATACAGGGGAGTTCTTGCTTACATCTGGCGCGTGCCTCTCTGTTACAAAGCTTCCAGAGGAAGGAACAGGCAGAAATCTTTGCTGTTCTGCAGTCTCCACTGGTGATATGCAGGCAAACAGGGTCTGGAGTGGACCTCCAGCAAACACCAGCAGACCTGCAGAAGAGGCGCCTGCCTGTTAGAAGGAAAACTAACAAACAGAAAGAAATAGTAACAACACCAACAAAAAGGATGTCTACTCAGAGATCCCATCCGAGGCTCACTAACATCAAAGAACAAAGGTAGATAAATCCACGAAGATGGAAAGAAACCAGCGCAAAAAGGCTAAAAACTCCAAAAACCAGAACACCTCTTCCCCTCCAAAGGATCACAAACCCTCACCAGCAAGGGAACAAAACTGGACGAAGAATGAGTTTGACGAATTGACAGAAGTAGGCTTCAGAAGGTGGGTAACGACAAACTCCTCTGAGCTAAAGGAGCATGTTCTAATCCAATGCAAGGAAGCTAAGAACCTTGAAGAAAGGTTAGATGAATTGCTAACTAGAATAACCAGTTTAGAGAAGACATAAATGACCTGATGGAGCTGAAAAACACAGCATGGGAACTTCACGAAGCATACACAAGTATCAATAGCTGAATCAATCAAGTGGAAGAAAGGATATCAAAGTTTGAAGATCAACTCAATGAAATAAAGCGAGAAGAAAAGATTAGAGAAAAAAGAGTGAAAAGAAACGAACAAAGCCTCCAAGAAATATGGGACTATGTGAAAAGACCAAATCTACATTTGATTGGTGTACCTGAAAGTGATGGGGAGGATGGAACCAAATGGGAAAACACTTTTCAGGATATTATCCAGGAGAACTTCCCCAACCTAGCAAGGCAGACCAACATTCAAATTCAGGAAATACGGAGAACACCACAAAGATACTCCTCGAGAAGAGCAACCCCAAGATACATAATTCAGATTCACCAAGGTTGAATGAAGGAAAAAATGTTAAGGGAAGCCAGAAAGAAAAGGCCGGGTTACCCACACAGGGAAGCCCATCAGACTAACAGTGGATCTCTCGGCAGAAACCCTACAAGCCAGAGGAGAGTGGGGGCCACTATTCAACATTCTGAAAGAAAATGATTTTCAACCCAGAATTTCATATCCAGCCAAACTAAGCTTCATAAGCAAAGGAGAAATAAAATCCTTTACAGACAAGCAAATGCTGAGAGATTTTCTCACCACCATGCCTGCCTTACAAGAACTCCTGAAGGAAGCACTAAACAGGGAAAGAAACAACTGGTACCAGCCATTGCAAAAATATACCAAATTGTAAAGCCCATCAACACTATGAAGAAACTGCATCTACTAATGGGCAAAATAACCAGCTAGCATCAAAATGACAGGATCAAATTCACACATAACAATATTAACCTTAAATATAAATGGGCTAAATGCCTCAATTAAAAGACACAGACTGGCAAATTCCATAAAGAGTCAAGACCCATCGGTGTGCTGTATTCAGCAGACGCATCTCCTGTGCAAAGACACACATAGGCTCAAAATAAAGGGATGGAGGAATATTTGCCAAGCAAATGGAAAGCCAAAAAAAAAAAAAAAAAAAAAAGCAGGGGTTACAATCCTAGTCTTTGATAAAACAGACTTTAAACCAACAAAGATCAAAGGAGACAAGAGCATTACATAATGGTAAAGGTATCAATGCAACAAGAAGAGCTAACTATCCTAAATATATACACACCCAATACAGGAGCACCCAGATTCATGAAGCAAGTTCTAAGAGACCTACAGAGAGATTTAGATGCCCACACAATGATAGTGGGAGACTTTAACACCCTACTGTCAACACTAGTCAGATCAACAAGACAGAAAATTAAGAAGGATATCCAGTACTGGAACTCAGCTCTGGACCAAGTGGACCTAATAGACATCTACAGAGCTCTCCACCATAAATCAACAGAACATACATGCTTCTCAGCACCACATCACACTTATTCTAAAATTGACCACATAATTGGAAGTAAAACACTCCTCAGCAAACGCAAAGAATGGAAATCTTAACAAACCGTCTCTCAGACCACAGTGCAATCACATTAGAACTCAGGATTCAGAAACTTACTCAAAACTGCACAACTACATGGAAACTGAACAACCTGTTTCTGAATGACTACTGGGTAAATAATGAATTGAAAGCAGAAATAAAGATGTTCTTTGAAACCAATGAGAACAAAGACACAATGTATCAGAATCTCTGAGACACATTTAAAACAATGTGTAGATGGAAATTTATAGCACGAAATGCTCACAAGAGATAGCAGGAAAGATCTAAAATTGATACCCTAACATCACAATTAAAAGAACTAGAGAATCAAGAGCAAAGAAATTCAAAAGGTAAGAGAAGACAAGAAATAACTAAGATCAGAGTGGAACTGAAGGAGATAGTGACACACAAAAAAAAACTCTTCAAAAAATCAATGAATGCAGAAGCTGGTTTTTCGAAAAGATGAAAAAAATTGATAGACCCCCAGCAAGACTAATAAACAAGAAAGGAGAGAAGAATCAAATAGACACAATAAAAACTGATACAGGGGATATCACCACTGATCCCACAGAAAACAAGCACCATCAGAGAACACTATAAACACTTCTATACAAATAAACTAGGAAATCTAGAAAAAATGGATAAATTCCTGGACACATACACCCTCCCAAGAGTAAACCAGAGAGAAGTCAAATCCCTTAATAGACCAATAACAAGTTCTGAAATTGAGGCAGTAATTAATAGCCTACCAACCAAAAAAAGTCCAGGGCCAGACAGATTCAGAGACAAATTTTACCAGAGGGACAAAGAGGAGCTGGTACCATTTCTTCTGAAACTATTCCAAACAATAGAAATAGAGGGAATCCTCCCTAACTCATTTTTTGAGATCAGCATCATCGTGACACCAAAACCTGGCAAAGACACAACAAAGAAAGAAAATTTTAGGCTAATATCCCAAATGAACATCGATGGGAAAATCCTCAGTAAAATCCTGGCAAACCAAATCCAGCAGCACATCAAAAAGCTTATCCACAGTGATCAAGTTGGCTTCATCCATGGGATGCAAGGCTGGTTCAACATACACAAATCAATAAACATAATCCATCACATAAACAGAACCAATGCCAAATCCACATGATTATCTCGATGCAGAAAAGGCATCTGACAAAATTCAACAGCCTTTCATGCTAAAAACTCTCAATAAACTAGGTATTCATGGAACATATTTCAAAATAATAAGAGCTATTTATGACAAACCCACAGCCAATATCATACTGAATGAGCAAAAACTGGAAGCATTCCCTTTGAAAACCAGCACAAGACAAGGATGCCCTCTCTCACTCCTCCTATTCAACATAGTATTGGAAATTCTGGCCAGGGCAGTCAGGCAAGAGAAAGAAATAAAGGGCATTTAAGTAGGAAAAGAGGAAGTCAAATTTTCACTGTTTGCAGATGACATGATTGTATATTTGGAAAAACCCATTGTCTCATCTCCAAATCTCCTTAACCTGATGAACAACTTCAGCAAAGCCTCAGGATACAAAATCAATGTGCAAAAATCATAGGCATTCCTATACACCAATAACAGACAAACAGAGAGCCAAATCATGAGTGAACTCCCATTCACAATTGCTACAACGAGAATAAAATATCTAGAAATCCAACTTACAAGGGATGTGAAGGACCTCCTCAAGGAGAACTACAAACCACTGCTCAAGGAAATAAGAGAGGATACAAACAAATGGAAGAACATTCCATGCTCATGGATAGGAGGAATCAATATTGTGAAAATGGCCATACTGCCCAAAGTAATTTATAGATTCAATACTATCCCCATCAAAATACCATTGATTTTCTTTACAGAATTTGAAAAAAACTACTTTAAATTTCATATGGAATCAAAAAAGAGCCCACATAGCCAAGACAATCTTAAGCAAAAAGAACAAAGCTGGAGGCCTCACGCTACCTGACTTCAAACTATATTACAAGGGTACAGTAATCAAAACAGCAAGTACTGGTACCAAAACAGATAAGTAGACCAATGGAACAGAACAGAGGCCTCAGAAATAACACCACATATCTACAACCATCTGACCTTTGACAAACCTGACAAAAACAAGCAGTGGGGAAAGGATTCCCTATTTAATAAATGGTGTTGGGAAAACTGGCTAGCCATATGCAGAAAGCTGAAACTGGATCCATTCCTTACAGCTTATACAAAAATTAACTTAAGATGGATTAAAGACTTAAACATAAGACCTAAAACCATAAAAACCCTAGAAGAAAACTTAGGCAATACCATTCAGGACATAGGCATGGGCAAAGACTTCATGACTAAATCACCAAAAGCAAAAGTAGACAAATGGGATCTAGTTAAAATAAAGAGCTTCTGCACACCAAAATAAACTATCATCAGAGTGAACAGGCAACATACAAAATGGGAGAAAATTTTTGCAATGTCTCTATCTGACAAAGGGCTAATATCCAGAATCTACGAAGAACTTAAACAAATTTATAAGAAAAAAACACCATCAAAATGTGGGTGAAGGATACGAACAGACACTTCTCAAAAGAAGACATTTATGCAGCCAGCAAACATATGAAAAAATGCTCATCATCGCTGGTCATTAGAGAAATGCAAATCAAAACCTCAATAAGATACCATCTCCCACCATTTAGAATGGCGATCATTAAAAAGTGAGGAAACAACAGATGCTGGAGAGGATGTGGAGAAATAGAAACGCTTTTACACTGTTGGTGGGAGTGTAAATTAGTTCAACCATTGTGGAAGTCAGTGTGGTGATTTCTCAAGGATCTAGAACTAGAAATACCATTTTACTCAGCAATCTCATTACTGTGTATATACTCAAAGGATTATAAATCATTCTTCTACAAAGACACATGCACACGTATGATTATTATGGCACTATTCACAATAGCAAAGACTTGGAACCAAACCAAATGCTCATCAATGATAAACTAGATAAAGAAAATGTGGCACATATACACCATGGACTACTATTCAGCCATAAAAAAGGATGAGTTCATGTCCTTTGCAGGGACATGGATGAAGCTGGAAACCATCATTCTCAGCACATTAACACAACAGAAAACCAAACACTGCATGTTCTCACTCATAAGCAGGAGGTGAACAATGAGAACACATGGACACAGGGAGGGGAACATCACACACTGGGGCCTGTCGGGGCTTGGGGGGCTAGGGAAGGGATAGCATTGGGAAAAATACCTAATGTAGATGACAGGTTGATTGGTGCAGCAAACCACCATGGCACATGTATACGTATATAACAACCTGCACGTTCTGCACTTGTACCCCAGAACTTAAAGTATAATAAAAAAATAAATAAAATAAAATTCCATTTTATAGAAAATATAATGCATCTTAAGAAAAAAAGAAACAAAAAGGAAAATAAAAAATACACAGATTGGGAAATACGAAACACATTTTTGTTGTTGTTTTGTTTTGTTTTTCTTCTACAGAAGTCATCGTTTACGTAAAAAATTCCAAAGAATCAACGCTTCCTTTAAACCTATAGTATCCAAAATACATTGGTATTTGCAAAATAATAGGCAAATAGATCAAGGGGACAAAAGAGGTGGCCCAGAAATAGACCCCCACCAATATAGTCAACTGATCTTTGACAGAAATGCAAGGCCAATTCAATGAAGAAAGGACAGTCATTTTTTTGAAAGGAACAACTAGACATGTACAGAAAAAAATTAATCTAGGCCCAGACCTCATATTGTTCACAATAATTAACTCAAAATGGATCCCAAATCAATTTGTGAACTGCAAATCTATAAAACTTCTAAAGTCAGCACACATAGGTGAAAATCTAGATGATGTTGAGTTTTTTGATGAGTTTTTAGGTACAATATCAAAAGCACAATCTATGAAGGAACAAAAAAGATAACTTAGAGCTCAGTACAATTAAAATTTTCTGATCTGCAAAAAGATACTGTGAATGGAATGAAAGATGAGCCACAGACTGGGCGAAAATGTTTGCAAAACATATATTTGATAAAGGACTGTTATTCTAAATATACAAAGAACACCTTATAATTCAATAATAAGAAACAAATGATCCAATCAAAAATGGGCAAAAAATCTGAACAGACACCTCATCAAACAATCTATACAAATGGCAAATAAACCTATGAAAAGGTGCCCAACATCATTTGTCATTAGCGAATTGCAAATTAACAGCAATGTGCTACACCTGCACATGCATTACAATGGCTAAAATCCTCCAAACTGACTACACCAAATTCTGATGAAGATGCAGAGCAATAGGAATGTTTACTCATTGCTGATAAGAATGCAAAATGGAACAGCCCCTTAGGAAACTTTACAAGTTTCTTTCAAAGCTAAAAATAGAGTTTTAACATATGTTCCAGCTATGCTACTCCTTAGATATTTACCAAAATGAGTTGAAAATTTATGTCTGCACAAAAACTGCACTTGAGTGTTTATAGTAGCTTTATTCATAATTGCCTCAAACTGGAAGCAGCCAAGATGTCTTTCAATAGGTGAATGGATAAACAAATTGTGGTACATCCTTATAATAGAATACTGTTGAACAATCAAAGAAATTATCAAGTTTTGGCCAGGCATGGTGGCTCACACTTGTAATCCCAGCACTTTGAGAGGCTGAGGAGGGTGAATTGCTTGGGCCTAGTAGTTTGAGACCAGCTAGGGCAAATGGCGAAATCTGATCTCTAGAAAAAATGCAAAAAGTTAGCCAGGCCTGGTGGCACATGCCTGTAGTCCCAGCTACCTGGGAAGCTAAAGTGGGAGGATCACCTGAGCCTGAGAGGTTGAGGCTACTGTGAGGTGTGATGTCACCTCTACCCTCAGTCTGGGCAACAGAGTGAAACCCTGTCTCAAAAACAAAAACAAAAACAAAAACAAAAAAAAAACAAAAAAAGAGAGTGGAGGCCAGGCTTGATGGCTCACGCCTGTAATCCCAGCACTTTGGGAGACTGAAGTGGATGGATCACGAGGTCAGGAGTTTGAGACCAGCCTGGCCAACATGATGAAACCCTGTCTCTACTAAAAATACAAAAATTAGCCAGGCATGATGGTGGGCACCTGTAATCCCAGCTACTTGGGAGGCTGAGGCAGGAGAATCACTTGAAACTGGAAAGTGGAGGTTGCAGTGAGCTGAGATCGAGCCACTGCACTCCAACCTGGGTGAAAGAGTGAAACTCTATCTCAAAAAAAAAAAAAAAAAAAAAAAAAAGAAGAGGTGAGAGAGAGAGAGAGAGAAAGAGAAATTATCAAGCCACAAAAAGACATGGAGGAACCTTAAATACATATTCCTAAATTTCCTAAGTGAAATAAGCCAGTCTGCAAAGGTTACAAACTATATGATCCCAACTGTATGTATTCTAGAAAAGGAAAAGGTCAGTGATTGCTATGGGTTCAGGGGAAAGGAGAGGAATAAACAGGTGAAGCAGAGAGAGATTTTAGGGCTGTGAAGTTATTCTGTACTGTCCTCTGGATATGTGATCTTATGCATTCATCAAAACCCAGAGAGCTGTAAAATACAAATTGTGCACCCTAATGTTAACCCTGGACTTTAGTTAATTATAATGTATCAATAGTGGTTCATCAATTATGACAAAGGCGCCACACTAATGCAAGGTATTAATAGTAGAGGAGAGAGGGTATATGGAAACTTTCTGTACTATCTGCAGAATTTTTCTATAAATTTAAAACTACTCCAACAAATAAAGTCTATTCATGAATTTCTTTAAAGAACTAGAATCACCAGTCCATGTTCACATGTTTCAAGAGACACTCCCATGTTTTGAAAGAGGCATTCCAGTGAGGTGCTGTACACATGAAAAATCTTCTACCTCTTCCTACGCTCTTACAGCACTCATGACAGTTACAAGAATTGTCATATTGTGCTTTCATTTCATATCTGGTGGCCAGCAAGAACTCAGGAAACATATGTTAAAGACTGAAGGAAAAAAATGGCTGATTAAAGAATACAAAAAATAAATCTCATCAAAAGTCAGATTGATTTACTTTTTATTTCCTTTGTGAAAACCAGGCTTGTCTTCTGTCCATGTACTTGATGCTACAGTTATAACAAATTAGTCATAATTTCATATTCATGCCCTTATTACTTTCTGAATATTCCCTTTTCTGCCTTCTTGTCTGACCTGTATAGTTTCTCTTCTCTCAATCTCACCTCAAATATCAGTTTTATTACTAAGGCACCCTGCCCTGGTGCTTTCACAACATAATAGTTCCAAGTTCTACCAAATCTTTTTAGCGTTACATTGTAATTATTTTAATGTCTCTTACTCCTATAGGAGTGAGCAAATTGAGGCCAATAGAATGTTTTATTATGATATACCTATCCCTTTTCATAGTGCTTGATAGAATTCAAAATCAATTATTGGTACTGTGAATAAACTAATGAATGCTGCTGCTTTGCATGAATCATGTCATAGAAAACCTCTGCCTACCCATATTAATAAAAGTAGTCAATTGCAAAGAAGCCTAAGGCAATAGGCTGGATTTGTAATGAAGTAAATAAGACATAATTGCTAGAAGGCAAAATTGTGTAATTGAATGTGCATGGATTTTATATTAAAAATTATCCCACTCTGGTTGCACAATTTGTACCTTATGACATTGAAAAGTGAATATAATTACTCCTTTTTTTCATACATTAGAATATCATCATTTTTGCTTGGTTGCTGTAAGACTGAGTAACCAAATGTAAAAGAATCTAAAATGCCTGGCACATAAGAAGCCTTCCAAAGATAATATTTCAAATCTCCTTATTTTTTATGGGAAAGATGGGAACCCTGAGGACTAATCTCAGCTATTCCAGTTACAAGTGTTTTGATCTTGAATTAATTATGTAAAAATCCACGATCTTTGGTTTTTATTTATAAAAGAATCATCATGGCACTAAATGTTTATTATGGGGGTTAGATATCACACGTAAAGTTACTAGCAGAGTTCCTATTATACATAATAGCTCGACAAAGTATTAATCAGTTTAACATGAAAAGATGTTAACAAAAATAACTTGTTAGGCTGTAGCCTAAAGACAGAATGATTGAGTCCATACCAGGTACCCTCAATTCTAAAGCGTGGTGCTAATTCAGCTGATGAGGGTGCACTGGACTTTGTAGAGGTACTTCGGCTAGAGTCAGTCTGTCATCTATATTAAATATGTGAGTTGAGAGTGCTGAGGAGAAGAGGATTTTATTGCAGAGATTTTCATTGCAGTTGCACTATTGCCCAGTCCTTGAGAAGGGGAAATCTGGAATGAGTCCTTAATATCATGTATTGAGAGAGAGGCATTCAAGGAGACTGTCTGAAGAGGCTGACATGGGTGGCACTGGATATTGATAGATGCAGAGGAGCCATATGCGACTCCTAATTCGTAAGATTAAAGACATTTTCCCTTTCCTGGGGGCAGAATAAAGGGGAGGGGAGTATCATTAGGAATGCACTGTGCTTCCACTAAGAGATGGACAAAGTTTTGTGTCTTTCAACAGGCATCCCTTATGAGAGAAAGAGAGAGACAGATGGACTAATGCCAAGAGTAGAGCCTGGAGATAAAATGAACAAGAACCATGAGTACTGAGGAGCAATGTCACAAGGTGCTAGCCTAAAACATTGCTAGAAACAAAAAAACTTGGTCAAAGATTGTCTTTGCAGCATTCTCCAAGGAGTCTGTTTAAGTGTCAGCATTGGCTGCCTAGTTAATAAGAAAAGTAGTGACATCAATTTGTCATCATTTCTGCCAAGTCTTTGCTCTTTCTGTCAGGCCTACAAAATTGATCAGGCCTAAGTTGGATGAAAGTTTAAGATACTCAATACATTAGATTGAAATGGATTCCTTATTTTAGACTGCTATTTGTTTAAAGCCAAGAAAAATAGAACATTTATGCAGTCATTGTAACTTGATAAATCTAAGGAGCCTATTTTTTATTTCACTCAGAAATATGCTAAGAGAAAATTAACAGTGCAGAAATAATAAAATTGATTACTAAATTCAAAAACTATCATATTCATTTCCTTCAGTGAACCAATTATTTGTTAATGATGTATCATGGATATTTTAAGAGGTACATAAAACAATGAATGCTTCTTTTGAGTTATAGTCTTACAGAGAGAGTACTCATCAAGTCAACAAATATGTTTAATTCTTAATGTCTCAATATACTTCTACTGTACTTTTTACTAGACATCATCAGTGTTTTGACAACATTGAGTGAGTTATGCAACTAGAATTATAAACCACATGGCAATGAAAGTAGACTCAGTCAACCATGACTGGCCAGATTGGCATCAAGAAAATTGTCATTACAATGAAATTTTGATTTTGAAAAGACAGAGAAAAATCAAGAAAAAAATGGGCAGAAGCGAGAAAAGAATATAAGTTTAGGTGGATTTGAAAAAAATGTGGACCCTAGATAACATAAAATCTAAATGGCTTTAGAACTTCAATCAATACCCTTTACATCTTGTTATCTTGTCTGTACTGACATATTTCAGCTTTCTCAAGAATTGCATGTCCCTTGACAAGTATGTGTGTGTGTGTGTGTGTGTAAACTACACAACAAACACACACATATATGTAGTTTATATATATACATACACACATATATATGAAGTTTGTGTGTGTGTGTGTGTGTGTGTGTTTACTCAAATGCCCTTTTGCTAGTTCTTCTTGTTGATGTTGAAGTTGGTGGTGGGTTGTGAGTGATGTTTGAGTTTTGACATTTTTTGTTATGATAAAGAAAAGTATCCATTCTAATGAGAGTAATTGATATCTGGATGTTATTTAGGGTCTTCCCATATCATAGGATTAACCAAGCAGCATCTGGTACTAGTGGCTATTTAGAAAAGTTAATCTGTTCCATAGGAAAAGAGGCACTCATTTTAAAACATGAGTCATGTAGCTATTCCTAGTCCTTTTATTTCCTTTTACAATCCAAAACACTGCTGGGACATGTCTCAGGAAAAGAATTATCATTGTCTATAATTAGACATTTAATATACTGACTCATAAGAAGTGTTTGGACATCCAAGGCATCAATGAGTCAATTATATTTTTAATCTTTAAAACTGCTACTGAAACAGTGCTGCTGAGAGTCATTACTCTTGATTAATAGCAAAGCATACTTTTTAGAAGAAAAAGCCTGTATTTCTCTTTGATTTCTAACTGCACACACATGCTAATTGCCACGGAGAGTTTATTTAGCTGGACGTTTGGGACATGTGGGTTACATTTTTATAGCTACTTCAGACAGAAAATCTTTTCAGTATATTCTACACAGCTAGGCAACAAAGAGGAAGAGGGCAATTTACAACTGGAAGTTCTTCTAATCCTCCTTCATTAATTGTGCCTTAATGAAATGATATATCTTAGTGGAATCCATAATAACAGTAATTTCTGTTCCCACAAGTAAGCCTTTCAGAATGAAATTATCACATTTTCTATATTCAGAAATTTGCCAAAATAAACTTTGGAAAACATGTGTGACTCTGTACCATATTGTCTGCAGCCCCAAAACTGACAGCATTTGGCTTATATTGCATCATTCAAACCTCACTTGTATTGAAATGCTCTACTACTGAATTTGTAATAGCAAATGAGACTTGCAGAAAGCTTCATCCAGAGAGTCATGTTCTTCTGTAAACGTGATAATTGCCCTCATTTGACTACTGATTCATTTGGCTTTCCTATGGATAATTAAGAACCAAAGACCTGTGGTAATCACCTGACTGCATGGTATTCTGAACATTTGCAACATCCTGTTTAAAGCATACCAATTATATTAATACACATTTTGCAAAAGCTTTGTTTAAATCAAAAAGTGCTTATTTTCTATTTACACTTGAAAGTTGAAGATAGCTACTATATTGTTCCTTGGTCAAGTATTATAATCAGTCATAATGTGATATAGTTTTAATTAATTAACAACTTAATTCTGACCCATTTTATTATAATATATGTGGAAATTTCCTCTAGATCCTTGTGTCAAAAATACAGAATTTCAGATATACATCTGTATTTTGATATATTACCAAGAAGCTTTTATTTTATATTAGATGTTTTAGATGACTGCCTGAAGAAAAAGAAAGGAATACTTTGTTCATAAATGATGAAATGACCAAATGAATCAATTGTATAGGCAACATTCTTTTTCTTTTTCTTTTCTTTTTTTTTTTTTGAGACAGAGTCTCTCTGTGTCGCCAGGCTGGAGTGTAGTGGCATGATCTCGGCTCACTGTAACCTCTGCCTCCCAGGTTCAAGTGATTCTCCTGCCTCAGCCTCCTAAGTAGCTGGGACTACAGGTTCACACCACCATGCCCACCTGAATTTTGTATTTTCAGTAGAGATGGGGTTTCACCATGTTGGCCAGGATGGTCTTGATCTCTTGACCTCATGATCTGCCCTCCCCTGCCTCCCAAAGTGCTGGGATTACAGACGTAAGCTACCATGCAGGGCCGGCAACATTATTTTTCAAAGATATTCTGTTTGTTTAGTTAGTTAAATCCATTTTGATAATGTTTTAATTTTCATTTATGTTGGAATAATTCAACATTACCTAAAATTGAATTGTATTAATATTTTGCATTTGCATGAAACAATATTTACAGACATCAGCATTTTACTCTATCCATAAATTAATAATATTACATTCATCCAAAAAGTTGAATATTTTTTATAGGAAGGTAAATAGGGCAAAGGGAACAAAACGATTATTTGATAAATATGATTCAAGCTCTTAACTTCCTTGCCAAAAGAATTCTGATTTATTTCAGCGCTTTTCAGACATACCAAGAGCAACAGAGAGCTCAGGAATAATAGTTTCCTTCAATAGGTCCAAGGATACACTATGATGAGTCTCAGTCAATTGCAGTAATTCCATTTCCAGTTATCTGTTATTTGATAAGGATTAGGAAATGACAAATTCTAGTGACTCAGACGTCAGAAGACATGTGATGTGGGGCTTCTGGGAAAGATAACATTTGCATATTTAAGTAAAAGTAGAAAAACAAAAAGAAAACCACTTAATTCCTTTGAACGTATGGATGCTGTCACATGAAGACTTGGCACTTTGGCAAGTCTGTTGGGACAACTTTGTGAACCAAAAGCAATAACAGAAAATTACATTCTTCAATTGCTGAGCTAATGAATCAATGATTCTGGAACTGCCTCCTTCCAGAACTTTTATTCAGTGAAATAATCAACAACCTTAATGATGAAAATATTTTTAGTAGAATATTCTGTTTTTTTGCAGGAAAACATGATAAACATATTGTAAGAGATATGTGATAAGCACGTTGTAAGAGACACAAAAATTTAGACACAGTCTCTGACTTATAGACAGACTCCTCTGAAGATGCTCCTACCCTGAGCCCCTGAGAGGAAGCTATGATTTATCTGAATGATATATATTGGGAAAATATAACAATGTGATCAACTTCATCTTTTTCCTCTTGGAAACAAGGTGCCACAGAATGAGTATGTCCCTGTCCATCCTGCAACTGGGTGGGTGGGTCTGCCTAATCCTGAGTTTTGGGTGAGGAAGTGCTTTTAGGCTCTGTCTTCCAATTCTGCCCATCAGTGATAAAGTAGATATTTTGGTCTTCATCTACCAATCCTACTTTTGTCTCTCAATTAGTTCAGAACCTAAGTGGGAAGTAGGAGTGTTTTAATCAGTACCTCCTCAGCGGCAACAATGGGTTGAGTGAGTGATTAAAATTGAAAATAGACTTATTTCATTGAATGTTTTGCAGTCCACTTTGAACATACACGTGGATTTCTTAAGGGATGGCACTTTCAAGGCAAGAGAGTTTCTCCCCAATATCAAGTCCTCAACCCAAGTTCAGGTGTGAAAACAGATTCCACAAGTTTATCTGGCTTGCTACCTCAGATTCATTTTTGTCTCTTCTCTCTCTGCATTACAAACTTATATCTCTTTTATCTGTAGAATTTTCTTTGAGAATTTTTTCTTCAGTGCCACCTCAACTACTTTTGTCTAACTGTATTATCTAAACCACTACAGCTAGCTCCCCTATCCATAAAACTTAACAATAATAAAATAGAAAATCTTGGATTCAGATTCATAAGAAGTGGCTACTAATCATTATTAGATCAATAAAAAGTTGTATGACTTTGACTGTCCAAGCTCACAGTTTTTTTTTGCCTTAAATACTATACCACCTCCTAATTCTAACCTACATTTTGTGCAAACTGTGCCCTGCATAGAATACTTTCACATTACCTGCTACACTTTAATGGAATTTTGTGTTAATGAAATTTAAGGCCCTTCAGGATCTACATCACATTTTATTTGACTTTGTATTTCTAGCATCTTTCACAGTGTTTAACCTACAATAAGTGTTCAACAATTAGTTATTGAATTAATGTATAAAATTTTAATCTTTATTTGTCTCACATACCCATCAATAAAAATAAAATATCAATATCTGTTCTATTTACTGTTAATGATACATTTGCAATTACATGGCGAAAGTAAAGTGGACAAAGATAAAGCCATCAGAATTGGGGATAAAATTTCTAATATGAGAAAGGGATTTTATATATATGCATTATCCTTTGGCTGTTTCTATGATCTTTTGTGTTTCTTAAACAGCATGCCAAATATCAAGTAGGATATTGAGCTGAAGGAAAGAACACAGGATAAGGCCAAAATAAGCCTATCACAAATATGTCATTAGTGCCAAAGATTAGATCCAGCAGAAATCTCATTTTTTTTAATTCTAAGTTTTACCATATCTCAAAAATCCTGATAGGATTGCATAGCGTAGGGTTGATGGATCTCAATATGTTCATGTTCCCATGGTGATTCTGATGTGCAGCAAGGCCCAGCACTACTCTTTCTGTCAAATGAATACTCACCTTTTTAATTTGGTACATTTCAAGCAAACAGGAAATGATAGAGTTCTAAGTCCCAATAAAGACAACTTAATTACAAATACATTATTCTTCGAAATCAGCAGTATTGGTAGGTAGAAGAATTGGAATTTTTAAAAATCGTAATTGGTTCTTTTTCATAGTCACAATTCCCATTCTGCTAACAGGGTTGCTATGAGGATCCCATGAGATAATTTGAAAGTACTTTTTAAAATTATGAACTGCTATTGCTGCTGTTTTGCTATTTTGAAATAATGCTTCTAGTCTGATTATATTTCATCATTCAATGTCTCCTTCCCATAATGGCAAAGAGCTGAAGACTAGACAATTTTTTTTTTTTCAGAAGGACCCAGCATTCTGGAAGCCCCACCCTTTCAGGTCAAGTACCTGGGGACTGTGACTTTGACTCTATGAGCTTCACTTTTCCTATCTATACGAGAACTATAAAACCAATCACATCTCATTATTAGATGATATAACACATTTAAACTGCTTACCCCAATGCCTGATACATAACAGTAAGTACACATAATTAGTATAGAATATTAACAAAAAAAGTTGACAATGATGAATTCTTGCTTGTATATGTTCTTAAATCCCCTTGCCCACTTTACCTATCCAAATCCATCTCTTAAAAATTCCCAAGAGGAATCTTAACTTTTAGCCTGTCCAGTTTTCTCATCAGCTGTCATAATGGTCACTTTCATTTGGACATTAATCTTTTAATATTTTAAGCTGTTTTGTTTGCTACTACATGAAATTAACAGCCAAGCGCTATGATATCTATATGCTAAATATTTAATTATTTTCTTCATTTATTAATGTATCAATTTTTTATTGAATGCCTATTATGGTTCAGATGGCTCAGTCTGTGAAAAGCACTAGAAATAAAACAGTTGATAAATAGGTATTATAGGTTTTCTCAACTTAATGTGGGAAAAATAATTATACCATAAAAATCACAAAAAAAGCTAAGACAGAAAGAAGAAATTTGAAGAAGTGTAAACTATTGTCATGTGTGTGAGTAGGTGGGAGGGTTCTTATGTTATTGGTCAATATGGCATGCAAGTCCCAGTACAATAGTCAGAAACAGGCATCTGGAGAACTGAATAGATAGAGAGAATCTGTTACACAAAGAAAATGGTACTTTCAATAAAGAGAAAAGAACATGCAAAAATTGAGTTATGGCATCAATTTGTGACTGAAGGCATAAACACAATAGAAGAAGTCCACCATGGGCAGACAAGAAGTGGAGCTGCAGAGACGGGCAGGGACGAGCAAGACTATGCTGAATATGAAATAGTTACAATATCTTTGGAAGTTAAATGGGAAACTCTTGTGAAGTTTTAAGTATTGCAGGGACCAGTTTGGAGGACGTTGCATTAATCCAGATGAGACACAGAGATGGTGCAAAAATCCTATAGGTATTGGTATACCTGGTGATCTGATCTTTGACCCTCTGAATATTTCCAATAGCACATTTGAAATAATGGTTGTCCAAAACTTATATTTTGTATTGAAAAATGCTATAATAAATTTGTTTTTCCAGGTTTTTATAGATGGGATGCTTGTGTTCCCACAAAATTCCTACCTTGAAGCCCCAATTCTCAGTCAGACTGTTATTTTGAGATAGGACCTCTATGAAAGTAATTAAGGCTAAATGAAGGTATAAGGGTACAGCCCTACTTCAATAGGATTAATGTCCTTGTAGAAAGAAATAAGAGGCCAGGAATATCTTTCTCTTGGTGTGCACAAAAAAGAAAGGCCATGTCAGAACACAGGAATAAGGCAGCCATCTGTAAGTCAGGAAGTGGACCCTCACTAAAACCCAACCATCCTGACACTTTGATTTTGGACTTCCAACCACCAGAACTGTGAGAACATATATTTCTGTTGTTTTTATCACAGCAACCCCAGCAGACTGAGACACAGATAATCCCCAAAACATATGATTGTGCAAACGTCTAGGCACAGCCTGTAGACTACTCTGCATACTTAGTTCTACTGTCTTCCCGATTGGAATCAGTCTCATATTTGTGATCATTAAGTATGTTGCTTAGCATACCTATAATATTCCCTACCTCAAGGAAATGTGAAAATATATCCTAAGAACTTGCAAAAGTTAGTGAAGAAACTTGGTGAGATACAGAGTCATAGGAAGGCTCAAACATTAGGAATATTTTGAACAACATAAAATGTGTTTACCTGAGGTTAAGTTTAAGGGCCGAAGTTTGGAGGTGCACATCTAATCTACCATGCATGCAGTACTTTCTGGTGTTGATAGAAAGGAAAGTTTGAAAATATTTAATACAGAATAGTGAATATTTGGATATTTTAAGCTGTTTTCCTGATATTTAGGCAAAATAGGATTGGGTCGTTGGATGAGTTGGCATTGCATTACTCTTTCCCTCTGTCAATGGAATGGAATGGAATATAAAGCCTCACTATGCCAAATTTAACTATTCAGCCAGGTGTGGTGGCTCACGCCTGTAATCCCAGCACTTTGGGAGGTCAAGGCGGGCAGATCACTTGGGGTCAGGACTTTGAGACCAGCCTGGCCAAGATGATGAAACCCTGTCTCTACCAAAAATACAAAAAAAAAAAAAAAAAATAGCCAGGAATGCTGGCCACACCTGTAATCCCAGCTACCAGGGAGGCTGAGGCAGGAGAATCACTTGAACCCAGGAGGTGGAGGTTGAAATGGGCCAAGATTGCACCACTGCACTCCAGCTTGAGCGACAGAGTGAGACTTTGTCTCAAAAAAAAAAAAACACAAACAAACAAACAAACAAAATTTAACTATTCAACTTCAACTTTTTCAAGGATGTTTTTGACATGTAATTAGGGAAGCCTGTATTTTGGAAATAGGTTATTAAAGACTCTCTGATAGAATATATATTTAGCCAAAGAGAGTCATTAAGAGACTTTTGGAATTTCCTTTTATGTGTGTGTTTAATATTCTATTTAGATTGAACAAACAGATAATGGTGCCATTTGCTAAAATTCATATTTCTGAAGAAAAAATAGTTTGGTGGGTGGTTGAGTATCATTTCACTGTGCATCATTAACGTGGTTGGTATATATGTCCCCTCCAATTTTTATATTGAAATGTAATTCACAATATTGGAGGTGGGGCCTGATGGAAGGTGGGACCTGGTGGAGGGTGGGGCCTGGTGGAAGGTGATTGTGTCATAAGGTTAGATCCTTCATGAATGGTTTAGCACCATCCCCTTGGTGATAAGTGAGTTCTTTTTCAGTTAGTTCATGTGAGATCTGGTTGTTTAAAACAGTCTGGGACCTTCCCCGTCTCTCTCTTGTGCTCTCACTCTCACTATGTCACACACTTGCTCCCTCTTTCCCTTCCACCATGGTTATAAGCTTCCTGAGCCCTCACCAGGAACAAATCCCAGCTGCATACTTCCTGTACAGCCTACAGAATCAGGAGCCAAATTAAAACTCTTTTCTGTATAAATTACCCAGTCTTAAGTATTTCTTTCTCTGACACACAAGAAAAAACTAATACTAAAAATTGGTACTGAGAAGTGGGGCATTGCTTTAAAGATACCTGAAAATGTGGAAGCAGCTTTGGAACTGGGTAATGAGCAAAGGTTGGAAGAGTCTGGAGGGTTCAGGGGAAGACAGGAAGATGAGGGAAAGTTTGGAACATCTTAGAGACTTGCTAAGTGGTTGTGACCAAAATGCTGATAGAAATATAGACAGTGAAGGCCGAGCTGACACCGTCTCAGGTGGAAGTGAGGAAGTTATTGGAAAACTGGAGGAAGGTCACCTGTATTGTGTCCTAGCAAAGAATTTGGCTGCATTGTGTTCATGATCTAGGAATCTGTGGGAGTTTGAACTTAAAAATGATGACCTAGGGTATCTTATAGAAGAAATTTCTAAGCAGTAAAGTGTTCCAAAGGAAGCCTGGCTGCTTCTAACAGCCTATGACCAAATAAAGAAGCAAAGGGATGACTTAAAGTTGGAACTTATATTTAAAAAGAAAGCAGAGTCAAAAAATTGAAAAATTCACAGCCTAGCCATGTGGCACAGAAAGAAAATACTTTTTCTGGGAGATGAATCCAAGCAGACTGTGAGCAACCACTTGCTAGAGCTATTAGTACGATTAAAAGAAAGCCACATGCTAATATCCAAAACAATGGGGAAAAGGCTTCAAAGGCATTTCAGGAAACTCTGAAGCAGCCCCTCTCATCTCAGGCCCAGAGGCCTAGGAGAACAGAATTTAAGGGCCAGGCCTGCGACACTGCTTGCTGACCCGCTTAGCCTCAGAACACTGTTCTTTATATCCTGGCCATTCCAGCTCCAGCCTTGGCTCAAAGGAGCCCATGTACAGCTCAGATTGCTGCTCCAGAGGTCCAAGTCATAAGTCTTGAAGATTTTCACGTGGTGTTAAGTCTGAAGGTGCATAAAATGCAAGAGTGAATGAGGCTTGGCAGCTTCCACCTAGATTTCAGAGGATGTATGAGAAAGCCTAGGTACTCAGGCAGAAGTCTACCACAGGGGTGGACCCCAAACTAAAAACCTCTTCCAGGACAGTGGAGAAGGCAAATGTGGGGTTGGAACCATCACAAAGAGTCTTCAGCAGGGCGCTGCCTAGTGGAACTGTGGGAAGAAGGCCATTGTCCTCCAGACATCAGAATTGTAAAGCCAAGGGCAACTTACATGTAGAGCCTGGAAGAGTTGCAGGCACTCAACTCCAAGTCATGACAGCCGCCATGGGGGCTGCACTCTGCAAAACCATAGGGGTGGAGCTGTCTAAGACCTTGGGAGCCCACTCTTCTCACCAGGGTACCAAAGATTCAGAACAAGGAGCCAAGGGAGATGATGTTGAAGCTTTAAGGTTTAGTATCTGCCCCACTGGGTTTTAGACCTCTGTGGGGCCAATTGCTCCTTTCTTTTGGCTGACATTTCCCTTTTGCAGTAGGAATGTTTGCAGTAGTAATGCCTGTAGCACAATTGTATCTTGGGAGTAAATAACTTATTTTTGAATTTATAGGAGGAACACACTCACCTCAAGATCAGACTTTGGACTTTGAACTTTTAAGTTAATGCTGGAACAATAGACTTTGGGGGACTATTGCAAAGGCATGATTCTATTTTGAAATGTGAGAAATACATGAGATTTGGGGGGCCAGGGGCAGAATGATATGGTTTGGATGTTTGTGCCCTCCATATTTCATGTTGAAATGTGATTCCCAATGTTAAAGGTGGAGCCTGGTGGGAGGTAATTGAATTATGGGGGTAGGTGTTTAAAGAATGATTTGACACCATACTCTTGGTGATAAGTGAGTTCTCAGTCAGTTAGTTCACATGAGATCTGATTGTTTAAGAGTCTGGACCTCCCACTCCTCTCTCTCTCTTGCTCCTGCTCTCACCATGTGACATGCCTGTTCTTCCTTTGCTTTCCACCATGATTAAAAGCTTCCTGAGGCGCTCACCAGGAGCAGATGCAGTGCTGCGCTTTCTTTTTTTTACAGCCTGCTGAACCATGAGACAAGTAAACCTCTTTTCTTTTCAAATTACTCAGCCTCAGGTATTTCTTTATAGCAGCACAAGAACGGGCTGACAGAATCCTGTATCATTATATCATACGCATTTCTCTTTTTTTTCCATTGCCACTACCATTATTTAGGAATCTTGTATATATTATAGTTATAAACTACTATCATAGAGTTACAAACTCAAATGCTTTAAGACTCTAATCTTCAATTTTCATATCATGGTTTTTATGTCAGAAAGACAGTTGGATCACAGGTCTAAAGTTTAATAATTCTGTGAATTGAGAAATCCATTTAACCTCATTGAAATCTAATTTCTTTCCATGAAGTAGAAGAATAATAACCACCGTGCAGAGTTGTGAGAAGAGAATGTATTTGGATGTATGAATTCTAATATCTGACATATTTACAGAGTTTATTTCCATGGGGAACACACACACACACACACACACACACACACACGCACACACACACACACACATGAAATATTGTGATTATACGTATATATAGGTCACCATACATATTCTGATTTTACATATCCTTTAATTTCTACCATTTTCAACAACATGAATGATTCTGGAGTAAATTCTTAACATTCTTTCATGTAAATTCTTATGCGTTAAAATGGCCTAAAGTTTAGTGAAGAAATAAAAATGACTCATATTGAAAATTAAACAACAAAAGGATGCCTCAAACATGTAACATACTAAGTTCACAATATCGCACAGAAATTTAATGGCAGCGAGTCTTCACAAGTAGCTTCTTACCATTATCCATAAAGGGAAATGGCAAGCAAGCAAGCAAAGAAAAAAATCCTTGTGTCTCACTAAAGTATATCATTGATTGGTTTACATTTCTTCAGAGCCTATTTACTGGAATAGGAAACAAAAACAATCAGAGGGAAAAGGGTTCTATCAACTATAAACTTTGTCTTATTTATTTTTCCCTGATAATTATAGGAATTTTAGAAATGCTAAACAATATGAGTATTTCTTCTAACACAAGACAACCACTTAATATTTCTATATATTTCTATCTAGACAATTTTTTCTAAGCATATATTTTATTTTTAATGTAACCTAAAACACTATATGTTTGTTTTTACATTTTCCAGATTAAATGTGCAGTTTTAATAACATTCCATTCCATGTGTTTCTATCATTTTATGAATAAGTATATACATCAGGGTCTCATAATAAAATATAAATCCCATTTTCCAATAAAATGATAAACATCTCTTGATATTTGGGGATATTTTTTGAAATACATTTCTACAAATAGAATTGACCTGTTTCCCACTTAGAAAAAAAAGTGCAGCTTGCTGTCAGCATTCATTTAATTTTATATACACATGCTCTTTGAAACTGAAGCAAATTTGATTAATTTTCAATGTGAAAATAAAATATAAAAACTGTTCTTGGAGTTATTTCTAAACAGAACATCAGAATCATCTGAATCATCTGAATTGTCTACGGAAAAATCAGATTCATCAAATTAATCTTCAGCCAACCACTGTTTTGAGAACATTGTGTAGAAATGCTGGGAGTTTCTAGGATTTGACATTTTCAGCTGTCAAGAATTACTATATTTTGTAAGTATCAATACCACTACTAAAAACAAAATGGTATAAACAGAATTATGTATTTATTTCCAAAGTTGACATACTGGACCGGTGCAAAAATAACAATAAAAGAGAGATATTTCATTGCAAACTTATCTCAGGATAATCACTGCAACCACAAGTACTGCTGGTGAGTATTCTCAAGACAAATGGGAAAAGGGTTAAAGGATATACTCATTGTTTAATATTTGTATATCTTTACCAAATTACCTTTGATGAATACTTTATAACAGGGGCCCCCACCCCTACCAGGCCACGGACCACTACACGTCTTTGCCCTGCCGGGAACGGGGCAGCACAGCAGGAGGTAAGCGGCCAGAGAGCTGGCGTTATCACCTGAGTTCTACCTCCTGTCACATCAATGGTGGCATTTGATTCTCCTAAGAGTGGGAATCTATTATTAACTGTGCATGGGAGGGATCTAGGTTGCATGCTTCTTGTGAGAATCTAACTAGTGTGTGACATGGAATTCTTTCATTCCAAAATCATACCCTACCGACTTTGTCTATGTCTTCCACAAAACTGATCCCTGGTGCCAAAAAGATTAGGGACCACTGCTTTATAAATATTTATACTTCATAAAAAGTGTTGTATCGCTTAATTCACCAGCATTTGACATTATAATTTGAATGTATTTGTCAATTTCACAGGTCTTTTTCTTCATGAGTACTACTAAACATGACAATATTTTTATATTTATAATCAATTATATTTCTGTGTTGTAAAATGTTGCTTGCTTATCTTTTTGTACCATTATGCTTTTCTTGTCAATGGGTAAGCTGTAGCAAACCTTAGTCATATTTTCTTTTGTTTTGACACTTTTGTTTTTTACAACTAACTTTGATGTTGAAAAAAAGTTATATACTTTAATGCATTAGTCTTTCTTTTTATATTTGTACTTTAAAAGTGACATCTATATGTTATTCACTTTTTTGTTCTACCTTGTAAATCCAGCTCTTAGCAAATTCCCTTTAAGGATACTTAAAACAACCACTGTATGAACTATTTGCTGTGGCATATAACACATAAAATGTCTTCGTAAAAATGTATTTAAATATGTGTTTGAGTGTAGTATTACTTAAATGTTTTGACATAGTGCACGTATTTATCATATATTATATAACTAAAAAAGAAAAAATTATTAAATCCATCCTAAATAAAGAATTTATATCATTCTTCATTTTCTCTTGATGAGATTCAAAGCTGTTATAACTTATTTACATGGAAGTGTGGTGATTGAAAGGAAATATAATATACATAATCTTAATCAAAATTTACCACTTCTAAGAATTAATGAAGAATATGGTGAATAATTATGCAAACTCTTTTTTATAGTTTACTGTATTATTTATTTATTTTTTATTTTCGTGGGTACATAGTAGGTGTGCATATTTATGGAGTACATGAGATATTTTGGTATAAGCATGCAATGAATAAAATAATAACACATCAGGAGTAATTTGGTATTTATCCCCTCAAGCATTTGTCTTTTGTGTTACATACAATTTGATTATACTCTTTTAGTTATTTTAAAATGTACAATTAATTTATTATTGACTATAGCCCCCCTGCTGTGCTATCAAATACTAGGTCTTATTCATTCTTACTATTTATTTTTGGGTTCATTAACCATCCCCTGCCCCCACAATCCCCTGCCCCAAATCCCCCACTACCCTTCCCAGTCTCTGGTAACCATCCTTCTACTGTCTTTCTTTCTTTCTTTTTTTTTGGGATGGAGTCTCACTCTGTTGCCCAGGCTGGAGTGCAATGGCACGATCTCGGCTCACTGCAACCTCCGCCTCCTGGGTTCAAGCAATTCTCCTGCCTTAGCCTACTGAGTAGCTGGGATTACAGGCATGCACCACCACGCCCAGCTAATTTTTGTATTTTTAGTAGAGACAGGGTTTCACCATTTTGGTCAGGCTTGTCTTGAACTCCTGACCTCGTGATCTGCCCATCTTGGCCTCCCAAAGTGCTGGGATTACAGGCGTGAGCCATCTTTCTACTTTCTATTCTCCGTGAGTTCAATTGTTTTGATTTTTAGATCCCACAAATAAATGAGAACATGCAATGTTTGTCTTTCTGTGCCTGGCTTATTTCACTTAACATAATGACCTACAGTTCCATCCATGTTCTTGCAAATGAGAGAATCTAATTCTTTTTTATGTATCTGAATAGTTGGGCATTCAAAAAGGAGAGGATTTTCTAAGAAAATTGAATCACAGCATATAGCAACAATCACTACTAGCTTGTCATAACTTTCTCAAACACTAGCTAGATACCTAGATAGAATTTCCAGTTCCTCAGAGGATGTGGCTAAGCAAGCCTAAAATCTGTATAAAAATCAGCTAAAACACCATGTTGTTTTAATTACTATAGCTTTGTAGTACATTTTGAAATCAGGTAGGGTGATACCTCCAGCTTCGTTTCTTTTGTTATTTGTTCTTTTTAGCTAATCGGGGTCTTTTGTGGCTCTATATGAATTTTAGGATTTTTTTTTCCATTTCTGAGAAGAATGACATTGGAATTTTGATGGGGATTGCATTGAATCTACAGATCACTTTGGGTGGTATGAACATTTAAACAATATTAGTTCTTCCAAATGCAAGAATTCAGGATATCTTTCTATTCATTCATTTTAAATTTCTTTTATCAGTGTTCAACAGTTTTCTGTATACAGATTTTCTTATCTCATTGAATAAATTTACTCCTAAGTATTTTATTTTATTTTTTTATTTATTGAGATGGAGTTTTGCTGCTGTTGCCCAGGCTGGAGTGCAGTTGTGTGATCTCGGCTCACTACAACTTCTGCCTCCCACGTTCAAGCGATTCTCCTGCCTCAGGCTCCCGAGTAGCTGGAATTCAGGTGCCTACCACCACACCTGGCTAATTTTTTGTATTTTTTTGTTGCGGGAAGTCAGGGACCCCCAACAGAGTGACTGGCTGAAGCCATGGCAGAAGAACATAAATTGTGAAGATTTCGTGGACATTTATTAGTTCCTCAAATTAATACTTTTATAATTTTTTACGTCTGTCTTTACTGCAATCTCTGAACATAAATTGTGAAGATTTCATGGACATTTATCACTTCCCCAATCAATACTCTTGTGATTTCCTATGCCTGTCTTCACTTTAATCTCTTAATCCCATCATCTTCGTAAACTGAGGATGTATGTCGCCTCAGGACCCTGTGATGATTGTGTTAACTGCACAAATTATTCGTAAAGCATGTGTGTTTAAACAATATGAAATCTGGGCACCTTGAAAAAAGAACAGGATAACAGCGATGTTCAGGGAACAAGGGAGATAACCATTAGGTCTGACTGCCTGGGAGCCAGGCAGGACACAGCCATATTTCTCTTATTACCAAAAACGGGTAAGAGAAATACCACGGAATTATTTCCCCAGTAAGGAATATTAATAATTAACAGCCCTGGGAAAAGAATGCATTTCCAGGGGGAGCCTCTAAAATGGCCGCTCTGCGAGTGTCTGCCTTATGCAGTTGTAGATAGGAATGAAACACACCCTAGTCTCCTGCAGCACCCCCAAGCTTGCTAGGATTCAGAAATTCCAGCCTGGCAAATTCTAGTCAGACCGGTTCTCTGCTCTTGAACCCTGTAAAGATGTTTACCAATGGCAATGCGTGCACAGCGGGACATGGAAGTTTATTAGTAACTCTAGTTTCACCCTGACATTGTGATCTCTCCCTGACCTTCTGCCTTGTGATCTTTTGTTGCCCTTGAAGCATGTGATCTCTGTGACTGACACCCTATTCGTACACTCCCTCCCCTTTGAAAATTGCTAATAAAAACTTGCTGGTTTTATGGCTCAGGAGCATCACAGAACCTGCCAACATGTGCTGTCTCCCCCAGACACCCAGCTTTAAAATCTCTCTCTTTTGTACTCTTTCCCTTTATTTCTTAGACCAGCCAACACTTAGGGAAAATAGAAAAGAACCTACATTGAAATATCGGGGGTGGTTTTCCCCAATTTTTTTTTTTAGTACAGATGGGATTTCATCACATTGGCCAGGCTGGTCTTGAACTCCTGACCTCAGTGATCCACCCACCTCAGCCTCCCAAAGTGCTGGGATTACAGGTGTGAGCCACTGCACCCGGCCAAGTATTTCATTTTTATACCTATATGATAACATCACATTGTAACCCATAAATATATACAAGTATTATTTGTCAATAAAATAAAAATTTAAAAAACAATAAAAACATTATTGTGTAAATAGAAAACAACAAATGTAGACTTCAAATTAACAAGTAGTGAGTTTAAAACCTTTCATTTCTTAAATATAATAATGTAGTTTCTTAAGAAAAAGGATACAAGGAATTATGGGGAACCTGAGGGCTTCTGCTCATTTGATATTTCAAAGACCTTTAATTTTTAGAAATGTTCAATATGTGATTAACTAAAACAGAATCAAATTTTAATAAATGTTTGTTAATAACTCCCCCTCCAAAAAAAAAACAGCTATAGTTTTATTTTACACTTCTACTTCCTATTAATCGTTTCACCTCAACATTACGGGATAAACTGTATCCTCCCAAAATGCATATGTTGAAGTCCCACCCCACAGTACCTCAGAATGCAGCCATATTTGCAGACAAGGTCCTTAAAGGGTGATTCTGTTAAAATAAGGCCCCTAGGGTAAAAGCTTAATCCAAGATTACTGGCATCCTTTATAACAAGAGGAAGAAACACTGAGAGGGCCTGAACCCAGGGATGAGCACGTGAAGAGGCAGCAAGAAAGTGGCCATCTTCAAGCCAAGAAGAGAGATTTCAAAAGAGCCCAACCCTACCAAACTCTCATCTCTGACTTCCAGCCTCCAGAACTGGGATGAAAATAAATTTCTGCTGTTAAAGCCACCCAGTCTGTGGTGGTTTGTTATGGCAGCCCTAGCAAATAGATATACTCACTAATGAAGATAAAGGTACTTGAGGGAACTCTCTCTTCTCCTATGCTCCATAAAATGTGATATTGGGCTAAAAACTTTTTATAGTATATGAAATTCAATTTTAAAGTATTAGCTCACCAAGTGTGGTGTCTAGAGAAGCAGCATCAGCGTCAACTGGAAACTTTTTAGAAATGCAAATTTGTGAGCTTCAAGGCAATACTGACTCAGCAATTGGGGATGGGGGAAGGAATCTGTTTCAGCCAGCCATCTAGGTGATCACACCTTAAGATACACCTTAAAGTTTGAGAACCCTGTGTTTCAAATGTACTGAACTAGAGCTCAGCTGAGTGCCATTTATAAGTGAGGCAGCCCAGGTGTAATAAAACAGGAAAGGTCTGGCACCATGGCAAATTAGGGAAGGCATCTCCACTGGGGTCAGGCCAGCCAACTGGCTGATTAGTGTGGAATTTGACACAGTTACCAGAAATGGATTTTTTAGGAGGATATTTCCTGACTTTTAAATACTGGTACCCAATTCTAACCATTGTTGGAAAACCAAATAAAACATGCTTGCAGGACAGTTCCATCCTGCGTGACCTCCCATTAATAATAATTACAATAATAATAGACATTTTGGAGGAGAGTAGTATGATACAATTTTTATTTCCCTATGCCTGTAAAAATTTGAGCTAGTAAATTCCAAGAGAAAGAGAAGATATTTAAAAATTTGCTTACTTTGGCTGGGCATGGTGGCTCACACCTGTAATCCCAGCACTTTGGGAGGCCAAGGCAGGCAGATCACAAGGTGAGGAATTTGAAATCAGCCTGGCCAACATGGCGAAACCCTGTTTCTACTAAAAATACAAAAATTAGCTGGGTGTGGTGGCATGCGCCTGTAGTCCCAGCTACTCAGGAGGCTGAGGCAGGAGAATTGCTTGAGCCCAGGAGGCAGAGGTTGCAGTGAGCCAAGACCACACCATTGCACGCCTGCCAGGGAGACAGAGTGAGACTCCATTTCAATAAATAAATAAATAAAGTAAATAAATAAAATTTTGCTTATTTTTTCTCATATTCATGGTGATTTTTATGTATGTTGGAGTAGAAATTTAAATTTACCATATGCATATAATTCTTCACTCTACAAATGTACAGTTTAAAACTTGACACTACTTTTTGTTTAGTGTTCTGATGATCCCAGGCAAGGCTTTGGTTTGGCTTTTATAAACAAGGCAGGCATATTTTTAATAGCATGTCTCAGGTCGACTGAGGTCTGTTTTCAGAGCTTGGATGCTCCAGGTGGCATTCCCACTGCCATCTGTGACTTGAATGTGGGGATTTAAAGATGGAGATATGCTGACTGGGACAGTTTCTCCACTGCTGACCATCTGCCACAGGGGCTGGAAACAGGGCTTGTAGTATTCAGTCTTCAGATGAAAGGTGAAATTAGCTGGCACCACTGTTCGAATGCCACTTTCTATTGCTGGACCTAAGCTAGGTTTTCGGATGCTGTTTACTTGTTTGAGGTGATTTTTTTGGTACCATTTAAAAATGAATGCAGAGAGGGAATAAAGATTATTAAGTTCTTGATGATTATAAAGTAGGAACATTTGCAAGTGCCCTGAAAAACTAGTCTCTTCTCACCCTACACCTCAATTCCCACCGCAGGACTACAGCTGAGAATTTGCAGATGAAGTGTTCTGTTAGTAATACTCCCTTAAACCCTGACCAATTTTGGAAGCACATGAGTCGAAGTCACTTCAAGTAAAGGATTTAAAAGTGCACATATCAATTAAACCTATAAAAATAATTGATAGGATCTCTACATATTTTAACTAGACTGCTTCACTTTTATACTTTACTAAAACCAGTTAAATCAGATATCTAGTTCCTCATTGGTGTAAATGAATTTTCCCTTATGTTCTAAATGACAAATTCTATTTAGAAACAATCTTAAATTAATTAAAGTAGTCATTTGGGAAAGAATTATAACCTTTGTGATAAAGATGAAAATATTAGCTTGGAGAGCTAGGTTGAAGACTTGTGCTATTTTGAGAATCACAAACCAAACATACGCCAGAGTTAGAATTTAAAATCTATCCTGTCTTTATCCAAGTGATAATAATAATAGTCTTTTTCTTCACAATTAAGTCATACATTCCTAAACACCCAGAATCCACAAGAGTCAAGTAATTATAGGTGACCTATGACTTTCTTATCTCATGCCCAAATTCATCCTGAGGCACACAACTCTAACAGCTACTATTGTATAAATATTTCACACCTGATTAGAAGAGATCACCCTCTTTGAATGATTTACATTTTTCTCCTTTTCCAAATCCCAGTAGCCTTTTAAACTATAGTTCCTTCCCCTTAATTTCTTCACAATCATCATACTAGGCTTTTAGTTATCTTGTTCAGATTTCAGCAGGTCTATTGTACATGAGGATGAAGATAAGGTTACCATCCAGAGCATGGACTAGATGAGATGGAAAACAGTCCTCAACAGACTGTCATAGAAGAAGTATATGAGAAAACTAAACGCTTTGCTTTGAAGATTGACCACATATTTCCCATGGGTTTTTTTTTCCTGTAAAAAATTGGTTCTTTCTACGACATTTGTTTTATTCACAAAATTTCTGCCTTTCTCCCAACCTTGTTAACCTGAGATTAGCATAAATCAAACCCCCAAAAGAAGGGAGTTCAGTTGGACTCCCAAAAGAGTTGAAATTGGAGAAGCCATATAGATAAGTTTAAATAATCTCACCCTATATTATTAAGGGGCATATCCCAAATCTTCTTTGGATAAGACTTTAGAGATTTTGAAATTTCGTAGTTTAACATCAGGTCTGCATCTGACCAGACATTTGATGAGGTTTCACAAGGACATATACTTTCTGTAAGTGGCCCCAATGTTCTTTTAAAGAAAAAAAAAAGAAAAATGAGAAACATTGTAGTATAATACAATAACTACAACATATAAATATGTGTTTTCTCTTTTTTTTATTTTCTTTTTTACCAATTCCCATCCAGATACAAGACAGAACTACATAATCAAAATAAATAATTCATAGCCTTTTCCAGGTGACATCATACTGCAACTTACCTCAAGAAAAGCCATCTCCATCCCTGCATTTTTTTCTCAAGAGTGCTGATTCTGACTTAGGTCAAGCCTACTTTTATAAAAACAGTTTTCAACAAAACAAACATCATCTTGTAATTTAATGTTTTTGATTTAGATTCATCAACAATCAGACAACTATTTATTATGCTGAATCTTGAAGATACAGAAGATTACTATATGATCTTCAAACCCAAATATCACCCAGTAAATTCTCATTGTGGCTATCAGAAGGATTTATTTGCCTTCTTTGTGGAATGGAACTGGTCTAGCTATGTTAGCTATCTTGAACAAAATGATATAATTTATATTATGGGCTACATTACTATAATAGTCATTTAAATATTCTGCTTCTAGAGACTACACATTTATCTTAAACTCCATCTATTTTCATAAACTAAATTTTAAACATGCCTAAAGTCATCATCGTCTAGATCTATACAATTTATTATATCATCAGATGAAAATGCATAAATTGGTAAAATGTCAACAACCACATAAACCACCCGCAATATGATTAATTCAGCATTACCTTTCTCTAATGGCTATCATTTCTAATTTTTTTCCCTTTCACATCAAGCATCACCAAAAACACACAAGAAGTCTAAAACCTAAGTTGATAATTATCATATGAGGGCATGTTTGGTTATATCAAAAGCAATATAAAGAATATTGCGGCAATGTTTAGTGAAGTGATTATCTGTGAGAAGCCATCAGCTTACACCCTTCACCTTATTATCAATCCTCAGTATTATTTAAGGCCATGGAGAAAACCATCATATAAGAATGTGCCTCCACATCCATTTGTCTTACTACTTTCTCCTCATCTTTCTTAGGTCCAGCCATCTACACATTGCTTTCATTCCCAGAGCCCTCTGTCAAGTTATGATAATGAAAATAAGGACTTAAAGGCTGGGGACAGTGGCTCACCCCTGTAATCTCAGCACTTTGGGAGGCTGAGGCAGGTGGATCACCTGAGGTCAGGAGTTTGGGACCAGCCTGGCCAACATGGGGAAACCCTGTCTCTACTAAAAATACAAAAATCAGTTGGGAGTGGTGGCATGTGCCTGTAATCCCAGCTACTTGGAAGGCTGAGGCAGGAGAATCCCTTGAACCAGGGAGGCGGAGGTTGCAGTGAGCCGAGATCGCACCACTGCACTCCAACCTGGGCGACGAGAGCGAGACTCCGTCTCAAAAAAATAAAAAAAATTAAAAAAACAAAAGAAGGACTTAGTCTACTTGTTTTCACTAGACATTTTCACCAGATGTTTCTTTTTAATTTGCACTAGATGTTTCTTTATTATTTGGGGTAATGATGAGAGTAGTGACCAGAAAGAAAAACTGGACCTTATTTATCATCCCCCAAACACTCTAGGATGCACCAAGATTGATCATTGCTGAGATTCAAGGGTTCTGAATAGGAAATCAGTCTCTAATCAGCAGAAACACATGCTACATATTTTAAACTTTTACATCTCAGGCAGCAAAAAGATCCTTTTTGTTTTACTACCGCAAACATAGATCTTCAGTGTTTAATCCTTAAATAGATCTTCAGTGTTTAATCCTCAGGAAAAATTTATAAGGCTTTTATGCATCGTATGGTTTTTTTCTGCTTAAAATCTATGATCTTCAAGTATCGGTTTTCAATGTCCCTTTAAATAGTCTTTCTGAAACTTGTCAGTTTATGACTATTATGACTTCTCTCCTCTCAGGTCATGAAGTTTCATCTTTCCAATCTAAGGATCATTTGAGTACACTGAAATAAGTTTTTGGAAATGGTCCATGGTTTACACATATAAAAAATAAATACTTAGACTCTGATGTTTTCATGTGGCACCCTCACATTTGGCTTCTTTCAACACAGTTTTTAGAGAAGGAAAATTTAAGTTTATAAATTGTGAGCGTTAGCTTCTTTGTCGCCACAAGTCTATGCACACACTTCTCTTTGCACACACTGTTCCTTCAGTGGGTACATCCCTTACATTCTACATTGTAAAGCCAAGATGGAAACATTATTTGCTGTTTTAATTAATAGCTAATTACATTCACCTCTGTGCTCATTTAATTTTATTTTTATCAACTTCATTCCCTTAAATTCAAAATCTTGCTACACCACAGGTATGCTCCTTTGATATGTTAACATGGCTCAGCTACAGTCTCCAGTTGTTCAACCAAACACGAATTTAGTTACTTCTGTGAACATTATTTTTGGATACGATTGAAGTATATAATCAACTGACTTTAAATGAGAAAAAATTGTCCTAGCTACCAGAGGTCTTGTTTCAATCAGTTGAAAGACCTTAACAGCAGATGTGAGGCTTTCCTAATTAAGAAGAAATATAATCTGTAGACATCAGCTTCAACTCATGCCTAAGCATTCCAGTCTATCCTTCCTGAAGGCCTGCACTAAAAATTCTTGACTCATCATTCCTCACAATCATGTAAGCCAGTTTCTTGCAATAGAAAACTAATACAGTGTTTTGATGATGGAGATACAATTATAATCAATCAAGTAGAACTTATTTACTTCATAAGGTTTTTCACATAACAGGAGAGAAAATAATAAATATACTCTTGGTACTCAAATTTCTCATAGTTCTAATATTAACCGTTTTAAGAAACTACCACAACATTTGTGCCAAAAAGCAATACAAATTTACTGTCTTCCAGTTTTGGCATTCAGAAGCTCAAATGCATCTTTCTAAGCTAAAAATCAGGGTGTATGCAAGACTGAATTCTCTCTGTGCCTGTAGGAAAATCTGTTTTCTTATGTTTTCCAGCTATTAGAGGCTGCCTGAAGTCCTTGGCTTATTGCACCTTCCTGTCTTCAAAACCAGCAGAGCAACATCTCCAAATCCCTCTCTGCCTATTTCTGTTTCTCTCCTTTTCCCACTTAGAAGGAGGCTTATGATTACATTGAGTCCACCCAGAAAATCCAGGATAATCTTCCCATCTCAAAGTTAGCTGATCAGCAAACTTTCACCTTACTCCTCTTTGCAGTGTAACCTATCATATTCAGAGGTTCCTGGGACTATGATACCGACACCTTTGGGGGGCCATTGTTCTTCCTACCACATCATCTATGGCACTTATATCCTTATTACTAAATTTATATTATTTCATGCTCTTTTCTGCCTTGAGCCCTCTAAGAAAGCATCCCCTGTTGACATAAATGTAAATGCCTTAATCAAATGTCCAGATTTGATGTATTTATTTATTTAATTTTATTTTTTATTCAATCCTCTCCAAGTGGTGACTACACTTAAGCTCATACCCTGGTGAGTCTACCAGTTTAATACTGGCTTGGAGATTCATCTGATTTTTTTCTCTACTCTAATTATAACTCCGATTTTCTTTTTCCTTAAATCTATGACATTCTACAAATTCTGTCATAAAAACTGACCCAGTGTTTTTTATTTTCCTCTTTTGCATTTCCTTCCCCCTTTTGAAAAAAACTACTATTCATTCTTTATATATGTGTACCATGCCCATTCTAGAAAGTGCCCTTTTGATACAGCCCACTTTTTTTTCTTCTCTATAATTTTCTTAAAAAATATCAAAATGTACTTATTTATTCCAACTTTACAAATTTTTTATTTATATTTCAGCTGTAATTTTGCTGAAATTGTTGTCCAAGTTGTGGTCTTAGAGCGTGTAATAAAAATACCATCACCTGGATAGCTTATAAACACAGGAATTTACTTCTCACAGTTCTGTAGGCACCAAATCCAATATCAAGGCACCAGCAGATTTGATGTCTGGTAAGGATCTATTTCCTGGTTCACAGATGGCACCTTTCTGCTATTTTGCCATATGATGGAATAGGCAAGTTCTGTTCCCTTGCACCTTTTGAATGAGGACACTAATCCCAGGACCCAATCCCATGAACAAATTACCTTCCAAAGGCCCTGTCTCCTAATACCATTACCTTGGGGATTAGAAATTTGAAATATGAAATTTGGGAAGACATGGACATTTGGATCATAGCATTTTCCAACAAACCAAGGTGAGAGGAAACAAGACTGAAAGGAAATACACACTTAGCAAATTCTGGGTAATTTGCATGTTTTTTGGTTATAGAACAATTTCTATAGATGTTCATGTGTAAATCAGCTATATGTATTCCCTTGAAGCCCAAGAGAACATCTAACTAACTTGTCCTCAGAAATGAATCAAGCAATTAAACACTTAAAAAATAACAGAAAGAATATTGGATTAGAATTTTACTTCTACTCCTGGCTTTTTTTTTTTTTTCCAGGTTGACTAATTTGAAGCATGTTGTCCCTGTCTACTTCAAAGCATTGTTTTGAGGTCTCATTTAACCAAATATTTTAAAGTTTTGAGTTATCTGTTTACATGAATATAACAGATTTTCTAATGATAATGCATGCAATTATCATTAGAAATAACAATCACTATGAATGATAATCAGAGGTTTAAAATTTACTTTAGACTCTTCATTAAATTAAATTTTATAAGGACCCATATAAATACATGTCAAATTAAATCTCTGAGGTATTGTGACTCTGAATACATTTTGGAAATACACCTTCAGAAATAATCAATCCATGTATTTATTATTGACTAAATATAGGTGCTTTAAAATATCAGGAATTTTAAAAAGTTAATCTGTTTTTCATTTTCCTGTGTGTAGGAGCATGACATTTGGAAAAATGTTTGCACTTTCAAATTGTGAAAAAAGTAGCTACTAATTCTCTTTTCACGTTTGACATTTATCATATTATTTTCAGGTATGGCATTTATTTACTCATTCATTTCATTAAAATAAAATCATGTAAATATAAACCTCTTTTTATTCAGACTGTATGTTCTTAAGCAGGTTATAATTGTCTAAACTATTGAAAGGGAATTTGACACAAATTAAAGCTTCTGTAAATATCCATTTGGGTAATTACCTCCATCATTGTCTGCATCCTAATACGGATGCTCCTTAACTTACAACAAAGTTAACGTGCTGATAAACCCATCATAAATTAAAAATATCAGAAATCAAAAATGCATTTAATACACCTAATCTACTGAATATCATAGCTTCACCAAGCCTACCATAAATATGCTCAGAACAGTTACATTAGCCTAAAGTTGGACAAAATAATCTAACATTTGAATACCTCATGTAATTTATTGAATAGTGTATTGAAGTATGGTTTCTAATGAATGCTTATCATTTTCATACCCTCATAAAGTCAAGAAATCATAAGTTGGGGACCATCTGTCCTAGTATTCAGGAAGAAGACTAACAGCTGAGATTTCATTTTATATAATATAACATCCAATATGAACATCTGAGTCTTAGGTAGCTTCTGAAAATGCACTAAATTATGACTGTTGAATGTCACCAGATGCTATTTGATTTCTTGGGTTCTTTCATCCATGTGACTCTGTGTATCTGGACAAATACAATAAAACATTTGACTACAAATAAAACTACAAATTTCCAGAGACATTATAAATGTGAAGTAAAATAAGAAAAGATATTCTAGATTATATTACGCTTTTATTTTTGTTGAAACTAAAAGTAAGAAAGAATGTGTTTAAAAAATGGTTGAGGTCGGGTGCGGTGGCTCAAGCCTGTAATCCCAGCACTTTGGGAGGCCGAGGCGGGCGGATCACAAGGTCAGGAGATCGAGACCATCCTGGCTAACACGGTGAAACCCCGTCTCTACTAAAAATATGAAAAATTAGCTGGGCGTGGTGGCGGGTGCCTGCAGTCCCAGCTACTCAGGAGGCTGAGGCAGGAGAATGGCGTGAACCCGGGAGGCGGAGCTTGCAGTGAGCCGAGATCGTGCCACTGCACTCCAGCCTGGGTGACAGAGCAAGACTCTGTCTCAAAAAAAAAAAAAAAAAAAACAACAACAACAACAAAAAAAGTGGTTGAGTGAAATAAACTACGTTTCCTTCAATATACGTCCCTATAGGTTTACTTGGACGGACTAAAAGTAACAACTGAAACAGGATAACAGAAATAAGATGCATCAATGGATAATATTAAATTAAAAGGCTCATTCATAAGAATTAATTTCTAATGCTAATTAAGACATAAGATGTAGTTAAATTTTGAAAGTAATTTTAAAACATTTTAATTCAATATCTAATCCATATAATTAAAAATTTCAAAGTTGATATCACAATTTTTTTTTTTTGAAATAGTGTCTCACTCTGTCACCTAGGCTGGAGTGCGGTGGTACTATGTTGGCTCACAGCAATCTCTGCATCCTGAGTACAAGCAATTCTTGTGCCTCAGCCTCCTGGGTCGCTGGCATTGCACGTGCTCACCACCATGCCCAGCTATTTTTTTTTTTTTTTAATTTTTAGTAGAGACAGGGTTTTGCCATGTTGGCCAAGCTGGTCTTGAACTCCTGGCCTGAAGGGATTCACCTCCCAAAATTCTGGGATTACAGGCTTGAGACACCTCACCTGGCCCAAGACAAAATTTTAATGATTTATTTTCTAAAATTTTTATTCAATGGCATCGAGAAAAGTGTTTATTTCCCAAAACAGCAATCTTGGGTCTTGCATGATTCAAGTAAATTACTTTCCCATGTGTTTCTGATTCTGCCTTAATAACAATCCCTAAATTACAATTTACTAGTTTTAAAAATAATGTAAAATTTAGAAATTTTTTGGTCATTAGCAATTTAGAGTTTTATTTGGGTAAAGGTGTGTTTGATGCTGACTAAGGTAGTATTTATTGATTGCTAAAAACAGGGCTACATGAAATAACAACTAGATATTTCTTAGATATTATAGCTATCTTTTCCCTTTTTCTGAAGAGGAGAATTGGAGATGGGCCCCCATCTTTTCTGATTCTTTATCTAGTTATTACACTACATTTTCTTTTAATTGTCCACAACTTAATGATTTCAATAGGACTGCAGTCTCGCTCTGTCGTCCAGGCTGGAGTGCAATGGCGTGATCTTGGCTCACTGCAACCTCTGCCTCCCGGGTTCACACCATTCTCCTGCCTCAGCCTCCTGAGTAGCTGGGATTACCTGAATGCACCATCCCACCCGGCTAATTTTTGTATTTTTAGTAGAGACGGGGTTTCACCATGTTGGCCAGGATGGTCTCTATTTCCTGACCTCCTGATCTGCCCGCCTTGGCCTCCTAAAGTGCTGGGATTCCAGACGTTAGCCACTGTGCCCAGCCTACTGAGTTTTTATGTTTACTTTCAGGCAGAGTTTGGTGAGATGGAATTTTGTCTCTTAGGGACTAAGTGTTCAATACTATCCGAAAACATAGCCAACACTAATATTTTGTTTCTATTTTTTCTAATGTGTTGGCAAATTTAACTGCCCCAAACTATAATCCACTCATTTATTATGTCAACAAATGTCTACTTAGTTTTTATAATATGCATGTTTCTACTCTGTCCTAGCTGTGTGAAACAGTAAGTGAAAAAGACAAAATCCTTGCTTGCATGAACTTCTCATTCCAGAGGAATGAATATATAAACAAATACAAAAACATATTTTTGCCTTTAACTCAGGCCACTGCCCTCTGTGGGCACTGCCTTTTAAGGAAAACTTAATGTTCATCGATTCTTGTCATGAAAATAAGCCCATTTTCTGCTAAGGATGTTGCTTTCATTATATGGAACCATGTAATGTATATGAAACTTTATTCTACTAGAAGTTTGAATGTTGGGATCACATCTTAGCTTAAAGGATACTTTTCTCAGAATGATCTTCCCTGTTTTCCAGTCCAGAGTAGCCAAACTAACAACTCCTTCTTCCAACTTTCTTACCTATCAACTTTTAATTTTCTTCAGAGTACTTAGCACTAATTTATTATGTATGTATAATATATAGAAATTAATTTCTATATACACATATTTATTGAGTTTGTAATATTTATATGCAATTATATTTCAAAGTATGTGTATTTATTTATTTTCTTGTTCAAACATTTGCTTGTCTTTCTATTTATGCCCCATGTACCATAAGCTGGAAAGTTAAAACAATTTATTAACCGTGTTTATCATTAGGAACATTTCTTGGGGCATAACAGAGCTTGAATGCTTGCTGAATGAATAATGCATCAATGAATGAGGGTCATGGATAATTGTTTTCAGTAAGTGGTAGAAGCCATTGAAAGGGCTTACATTGGGAAGCTATAGTACCTAACTCACTATAAGAAAGACCACTCAGGCATCGGACATAAAGAACACAGTAGTTTTATTTCTCATGACTGTCACGCACACTTTGTACTTCATAAATCATTATAAGAGGGTCTGAATACAGGGGTGTGGGTTCCTTGAAGGCAAAAATTATAACTTTTATCCAAGAAATTTTGATATCTAATGGAGATCTAAACATGATTTGTACTTTCAGAAATATTTGTTGTTGAACAAATGCCTTATGAGTTGCAGGCATTCAGATAAACACAATGAATGTGCTAATTACAAGGTAGAAATCCCGACTTAAAATGGCCAATTCCTAATTTCAAAGACGTCATTGTATAGTAATAAGGCATTCTTGCTTACAAACGATTGAATGCAAAGTGCTATAGAATAAAACAAATCAAACAAATCAGCAACTGGATAGTTAACCTATGACTATAATATGGAAAACAAAAATGAAATAAATATTTTTATAAGAGTTGGTCTTGATAAATGTTTTATCTATTCAGTATCCATGTTTGTTTTATTTTATATCTCACATCTGCTAGGCCATAGCTTTCATCAAATACACAGCATTAGATACAATCTAGTATACGCATATGATGGCAATTTCTGAAATCATGATACTGCCCACAATTTTAGTATAATTTAATAAAAATTGTGTTATCAAATGCAAGAGGAAGGACCTGATTTTTATCAAGGTCAACCTGATTTTGAATCCTTAATTTACTAATTAATAGCCAGATTATTGATAAATATGCAGCACAGGCTCTGACATAGTGAACATTAGCTTTTTTCCCAACTGCACAAAAGATAGTCTCACTAGATTGTGACATCTTCTGCAAAGCCAGCTGTTCTCAATGTACACTGCATATAGTATATACTACTGGTGGTAACTGTGATCTTTGTGATAAAATGAGTAAGGATGAATATAAAAAAGCATTCCTTTCTTCAGTACACCAACGCCAAGGAAGAAGGTAGGACCAAAGGAAAAGACATGCATGAAGACTCTACTGACAGTGTTCCTACCCCTGGTGGTGGTAGGTGGCAGGGTGAGAGGGTGAGTATTTTTTTTTTTTTTTTTGTATGGGGGAGATTGGGTCAGAGAGTTGGGCTAGTCCAGCATGGATAAGAATTACTCAAGCATGAAACACAATGTCTCAGCGGCTGCAATAGGCATAATTTTGTCCCCTATCACATTCACCCACTCTTGCTCAACCTGTGGATGGCCAAATAACAACCAAACAACAACAACCAAAACAGAAAAAAACTTTACAGATGACATTAAAATAGGAAAATTATCTTCAACTATTCAGATATTCCCACTATAATCACATGAACTCTTAAAAGCAAAAGAGCTGAAGGCAGAGGTGCCCAAGTCAGAGAAACAAGGCAGAAAGGGAAGTCAGAGCTCAGAAATATGAGAAATATTTGATTTGTATGGCAATCTTGACGTAAGAGACTACCTGGAAAACACATGAGAAATAATTTAATGTTTCCAACAATCAGAATGAGCCTAGGAGATTTCTCCTCAGAGCCTCCAGATAAGCACCTATGCCAGCCAAAGAAAGCACTGATTACAGCCTTATGAGAAGGAAGAAGGGGTATTGAGAGAAAAGGAGGGAGGGAAGGAAGGAAGAAAGGAAGGAAGAAGCACCCAGATTCATAAAGCAAGTTCTTAGAGACCTACAAAGGACACAGACTCCCACAAAATAATAGTGGGAGACTTCAACACTCTACTTACAACATTAGACAGATCATCAAGGCAGAAAGTTAACAAAGATATTCAGGACCTGAACTCAACATTGGACCAAATGGATCTGATAGACCTTTACAGAATTCTCCACCCCAAAACAACAGAATATACATTCTTCTCGTCATCACATGACATGTACTCTAAAATTGACCACATAATTGGACATAAAACAATCTTTGACAAATATGAAAGAACCAAAATCATACCAAACATACTCCCATACTCTAAAATTGACCACATAATTGGACATAAAACAATCTTTGACAAATATGAAAGAACCAAAATCATACCAAACATACTCCCAAACCACAGAGCAATAAAAATGTAAGTCAAGACTATGAAAATTGCTCAAAACCATGCAATTACATAGATATTAAACAATATCCTTCTGAATGATGTTTAGATAAATAATGAAATTAAAGCAGAAATCAAGAAGTTCTTTGAAACTAAGGAGACCAAAGATACAACATACCAGAATTTCTGGGAAACTGCTAAGGCAGTTTTATGAGGGAAATTCATAGCACTGCCACCATCAAACATTTGGAAATATCTCAAATTAACAACCTAACTTCACAACGGAAAGAATTGGAGAAGAAAGGACAAACCAACCCCAAAGCTATCAGAAGATGAGAAATAACAAAACTCAGAGTTGGACTGAAGGAAATTGAGAAATGAAAAACCATTCAAAAGATCAATGAATCCAAGAGTTGGTTTTTTGAAAAAAATTATAAAACAGGCCACTAGCTAAACTAATAAAGAAGAAAAGAGAGATGATCCAAATAAACACAATTAGAAATGACGAAGGGAATGTTACTGCTGACCCTATAGAAATAAAAACAACCATCAGAAACTGCTGCAAACACCTTTATGCACACAAACTAGGAAACCTAGAAAAGACAGATACATTTCTAGAAACATGCACCCTCTTAAGCCTGAGCCTGGAAGAAATTGATTCTCTGAACACATCAATAATGATCTCCAAAATGGAATCAGTAATAAATAGTCTACCAACCAAAAAAAGGCCGGGACCTGATGGATTCACAGCCAAATTCTACCATATATAAAAAGAAGAGCTGGTACCATTCCCACAGAAACTATTCCACTATGTTATTTCTTATAATTTGGAAGAATTTATTTTCTATCAATTTATTATTAATGTAAAATAATCAACATTTTAAAACTGTTACATTTAATATTAATTCCTATTACTTTGACAACCTATTGTCAAAAATATATATATATTCATAAATTATTCCACCTAATCTTCATAAAGTACTCTATTTAATAGTAATTTTAAAATTATAACGTTCTAGTTACATAGCAATTAGTCAAATAATCTAAAGAAAACGGTTCAATGAAGGTGACAGAATCAGGATCAAACTCTAATACTGCTTATATCCAAAGTCCACACTCTTTGTACTGTGCCACTTTGCTTTCTCCATACATTAATGTAGTGATATATAAGTGTATAAATCCATATCCAATTTTTCACTTCCTGAAAATAATAATTCATCCTTCCAGACAGCTATATTAAATAAGAATAGACACAGGAAAAGCTTTCTGCTGTCAAATATTCTTAGTCAATGAGATAATTTTTAGAAATATCAAATATAGAACTACAGACAAGAAGGCATTTGAAAATAAAACCACGGCCCATTTAACCACTTAAGAAAGAAAATGAGGTTTTTAAGAAGGAGGAGGGCCCCCATAAAAAGATGCCCGAAGATGATCTCTACAGTGATGACACTCAGATTCTTTCCCCCTCATCTCCAGTTAGGAGCTCTCATCATTTGCCAGGCTTCATAATTATCGATTACTGAAATTGGCCAAGTAGATGCATATGCAGCCATCAATACTGAGCAAGTTTGCTACTGAAAAGCTAGCAACTCTATTATTAAGAGTTATGAAGTTTCTTAATGCAAAAATGTCACATTTGTTTATTATGTTAAATAAAATTAAATGTGGTTCTCTCCCTACCGGAATTATTTTTGGAAGAAATTAGATCTGTTATTTTGAAGCCTGCTCTCCTTCCCTAATATTGTAAAAAGTTTCAGAAGTTTTGTAATTCAGACAAATGGAGAAAGCCTTTCTAAACTATTGCCACCATCCCTAAGATGGCCACCATACAGTCTTTCTGAGCTATTCAAAAGGAAACAGGTTCAGAATACAAGGCCTATGCACAGTTATTACCACAGTCAGATTTCTTTGTAGCACCCAAAGCCTGGCCCCTGAAAGCTCCACTGGCAAGTTTCTATAGGCAAATCTTCTGGACATCTTGCAGCCTTTGGGGTGCTAAGTGGAGTAGTGAGAAAAGACCCACACTCCTCTGTGACTACTTAACTCCTTATCCTCCATATCAAGCTTCTCTGCTCCTTTAGCCCTATAAGACTACATGCATCTCAAAGCTATCTCCAAAGCTGCATTATCCTGATTGCTTTCAAAAGCCTTTTGTTTTCCCCTAGCAGGGAAAATTAGGCTCCCATTTCTAGGACACAAATCCCTGACCATCCTTCTGGAAGGGGGAGGTAATATCACTTCTCATTCTTTGGCAAATACCATCTCTCATTCACTGGAGCTGGGGACAGTCATGACAGTCATGGTTATTGACTCAATCAATTATCCTGCCATATTTTTTCTCTAGTGTGCACTCCCTGTTTACAAAAATAATAATAATAAAACCTTTCATCTCAGTATCCCTTACATGAGGTGATAGAAGGATATTTGGTTGGATACTGATATGCATCTTCTCTGCAATGCTTGGTCTAATCTATGTGTAAGCATATGGATATTTTCACCAAACTTCTGGCTATTCAGGAATCTGACCTTCACTCCTCTTCAGTTTATTTGTTGAAAACCTTTTTATGAAGTATTTAGACAATTAACCACAGAAATTGGCCTCAATGATGTTTTTTTCTTTCTTAACTCTCCAGTGGTTGTGATAACATCTAGGTCTCTTATTTACTAACAGTATGCTCTATCCAAATTCCAAGTGGCTTTTCTAAAGACATGTTTGTTAAAATGTCATTCTTGCCAAATGATCTAAATTTGTAATAATGTATTACTTCCTTCAATGAACCCAAAGCATCCTGCACTGCCTATGTGTCATTCATATTAATTTGCATCTCAGATAGCATACCTAGATTTGGGATAATGGTGGTGGGAAGATCTCCACATCCCAGGGCTTTAGCAATGTAAATTACTATTTGTCTCTACTTCCATAAGAAGGATTTTAATTTCTTAGACATTCAGAGACTGAGATTAGGAGGCCTAAAAGTATCCTTTTCAAACTTTCACTTTCCGGGTGTTCTCTTAAAAGTTTCAAAGAAATCAAGACTTTCCGCTAGCTGTAATGAGACAGTCATTTCCCTATCTTCCTTCTGAATCTTCCTGTACATTATTGCATTCATTCCCAAAGATCTCTCTACATTCCATAGGTATTGGGGGAAATATTAAGAATAAACTCTCTTACCAAGTCAGAAAATCCTCTCTCAAATGTCGAAAAGGAAAAAAAAATTATCTCCATTTTATTGTAGTTTTATTGTTGAATAAGGATTTAACCAAAGTGTGATGTGCATGACAGGCAATCCACTAATGAGATTGCAAAGACAGAAGGAAGGAACCCTCACCTTTCTATATAGCCAAGAAGATATAATAATTACTTGCACATTCTCTTGCTCTCTCTTTTTTACTTTTTTTTTTTTCTTTAATGGAGTCTCACTCTGTCGCCCAGGCTGGAGTGCAGTGGCGTGATCTCGGCTCACTACAAGCTCCCTGTCCCGGGTTCACCCATTCTCCTGCCTCAGCCTCCTGAGTAGCTAGGACTATAGGCACCACCCACCACGCCTGGCTAATTTTCTTGTATTTTCAGTAGAGACGGGGTTTCACCTTGTTGGCCAGGGTGGTCTCCATCTCCTGACCTCGTGATCCGCCCCTCTCAGCCCCGCAAAGTGCTGGGTTTACAGGCGTGAGCCACCGCGCCCGGCCTCTTTTTCACTTTTTATAGAGACAGGGTCTCATTCTGTTGCCCAGGCTTGAATGCAGTTGCACGATCTTGGCTCACTGCAGCCTTGACCTCCTTGGCTCAAGCAATCATCCTGACTAAGCCTCCTAAGTAGCTGGGACTACAGGTATGCGCCACCATATCCAGCTAATTATTTTTAATTGTTTTTTGTGGAGACTGAGTCCTGAGTCTTGCTAATTTACCCAGATGAGTCTCAAGCCCCTTGCCTCAAGCGATCCTCTAACCTTGGCCTTCCAAAGTGCTGAGTTTATAGGTGTGATCCACCTCGAGGGGACTACATGCACATTCTCAACATTAATGACAACTTGTCCTCCTAGTAAGAGGACCCGACAGTCCATTTGCTATACATTCTTTCTTACTCCATCCTAAATGTATGTGGTAATCAGAGTACCCATCTGACCTACTTATTTGCTTTATTCAGAGGAAAAATAAAATATCTATCAAGGTAGCTTGGCTAAACTCAAACAATGACAGGGAAATGAGTGGGGGTGCTATCTTTCTTGATGTTAATATTTCAAAATGATGGCTCTGAGGACCTTGAGAACAAAACATTGCTGTGTTATGACTCTGTCAATAACCTCATTTCGGTTTTAAAAAAGGGTCACATGTATATTAATGGAACAAATAAAGGATTTAGACAAAAATATATGCAAATACATGATTTCTTGAGGAAAAGTTACTCTAACAACCAGGAAGGCAGAAAGGGTATCTACCTTTTAGTAATACAGAAAAGTCTTCCCCCACTCCCATAGATTCAAAAGTCATTTTCAAACATTTTTTTCTCTTGTATCACTAAGGTAATTTTTAATATATATATTTACATATATTTATCTTGGTAGCTAAATTATATTCATCATGGGTTTAAGTAGTTGCAATTCCCAGTAAATTAAAAATGTTAAAATTTTAAAATAATACTACTATGACACTTTTAAATATTTCTAAAGAAATCTAGAAATTATAGTTAATTTATATTCAATATTATTCATTTTGAAAAGGAAGGAAGAAGTGCTTCTTTTACGGTCAGAAATTTTACATTTAAAAATCTTGTTTTCTTGACTTGAATTTCATTTCTACTTTCGAAACAAAATGTTTATCAGTATAATTTACTGTTTTAGTACGTAAAGATAATTTATTAATTATATGGATTACAAAAGTAAATTTATATTTAATTTTTGTTGCTTTACAGTTCTTTTGAATTACATTATTAAAAGTTGAATTAAAACATAAACGTGACAGATTTTAAAATTCAATTATTTTCAAAAGCATTTTTTGAAATTTACCTCCTAATGTTTTGCCTATAAATTCATGTTTTTATAAATGAATCTTTTTTATTGCTAGAAGGTGGCAGGTTCCACATCATTCTTATTCCTATATCATTATTTTTATAAGATCTAAGAACTGAGAAATCTTGTTCTCAGAAATAAGTGGATAGGATTGGAAGGGCTTTGTTATAACAATGACATTTGATTCTTTGAACTCCTTTGAAGAATGACAACAAAAATTGCAGGTGTCCATTGACAATTCAACTAGGTATTTCTTCAAATTTTTAAAAGTAATTAAAAATCTAAAACAAAACAAAACAAAACAAAAAACACAAATGATTAGCAAGATTTTGTTACCCAGTCATCAAGGTGACTTACTTTTGAGAAGTGGAGATGAATGTTTTGAATTGCCCCTTCGTTTTGCATCCTGGAAATTTCAACACCTGGGGACAAAGCACCAAGGTAAAGTTAAAAAAAGTGGAGAAATATTTTTCTCTTTTAAAAAAAGAAACATTGTCGGAGAAGAATTCTTTTGAAAAAGAAGAAATGAAAGAGGGACAGCAAGAATGATGAAAGAAGTATTCGAATGTGACACCTGGAAACCTGTTCTTTAAAAGTCTTTGCCTGGCCACAGTACGCCTCACAAAGTCTTTGTGTACTCTCCAGGGTTAGCAGGCCTCAGATCAAAATTAGAAGCCTAAATGGCAAACTAACCAAATTGGTTTTTTTTTTTGTAAAGTAAAATCTCTCAATTCACTTTTAAAATAAACTTAATCTGGTTTGAAGTGTCCCTATGACAACCATCTCAATACTGAATTTTAATTATATGATAGGTATGTAGCTAATTACATCAAACAATAGTTAACAGTTAAATCGATCTCTGGCTGTATTTTTATTTTTATTTTTTTGAGAGCTTCTCTCTCTATCATCCAGGCTGGAGTGCAGTGACATGATCCCGGCTCACTGCAACCTCTGACTTCTGGGTTCAGGCAATTCTCATGCCCCAGCCACCCAAGTAGCTGGGACTACAGGCAGGCACTACCATGCCTGGCTAATTTTTTGTAATTTTTTTGTATTTTTAGTAGAGACAGGATTTTACCATGTTGTCTAGGTTGGTCTTGAACTCCTGGCCTCAAGTGATCCATCTGCCTCAGCCTCCCAAAATGCTGTGATTATAGGCGTGAGCCACTGCGCCTGGCCTCTGGCTGGTATTTTATGAACTTAATAATGAAGAACTGATTCTCTACCGAAAAAAAATGTATATATACAAAAAAAGAAAATGGTGAGGTATGGTGGTGCATGCCTGTAGTTCCATCTACTCAGAAGGCTGAGGTTGGAGGATTGCTTGAGCCCAGGAGTTCAAGGCTGCAATGAGCCGTGATCATGCCACTGTACATCAGCCTGGGCAACAGAGCAAGACCCTGTCTCATAAAGAAAAATAACAACAACTACCACAAAATGAAGAATTGGCGAATGTAGTAACTAGATCCAAGTTCATGGTTCTTACAGTTACCACTTCACAAGAAAAAGCCTGTAAGATTTAAAGCTGAGGATCACATGGCTAGTAACACTGAAAGAAGCACTATAGAACAAGGGAGATGAAGTCATTCTGAACATTCAGATTACTTATTTTTAACAAACAACTTAATATCTCTATCTTTTATATACTTTTCAGATTCTAAGCATAATTACGCTTTAGAGATAAGGACAACCATGCAAAATCATCAAAAACACTTCCTTGTAAAATGAGCCCTTCCTTCAGTTGACAGCGTTGACAGGAGATCCCAGGTGGGGAAAACACACCAAAAAGATTTTTATACTTAGGCTTTGCTCCACCAGGGACATTCACAAACAATCTCCAGGACATATTGGTTTCCTTGGGACTAAGGTATTTGTACAATGTCCATTTATAGGGGGTTAAAGTGCCTGTGATAGTGGTTGAAAGTTTTGACCCACTTTTACAGATTAATCAGCATTGTGGTGGTTACAGAATTTCCAGATAAGGCATGCTTGCTCTTCTCTAGACAAACTCATCCACGATATCTTAGTAACACTGATTCTGAGTTACCTTTAGTATTTTAGGTAGATCCACACAGTGTGATTGCTGATGTTATTTGTACGGATTTAGGAGCCACCAAGTGGCTATCACTGAACTGTCAAATAAATCTCAATACCTAGTTAAAATTCTTTTACAAGTAACTTTTCATAAAGAGGAATAAATGTTTACAGTAAGGGAGTATTTTGTTTACTTGGGCAGCTTTCTATGAAGAGAAGCATTTCTTGCAAAGCAATATGCCTGAGAATTAACTTTAGATTTCATTTCTATTTCACTGGAGTAGATATGTTTAAATTAACTTATAATTTCTTAAGGAGTCAGATAAAACATTAACTTCCTTTGTAATTTCTATACTTGCAGCTAAGAGTCGAAAATGAACCTAAGAGCCCTTCATTCCAGAATCATGCACAATTTCTAGTGCTTGTCTACTATCTACATAAATGTTCTCTCTCTTATATGCTCTTCACTTTTTGCCTCAGGCTGGATTGTGAGTTCCAGTTACAAAAATTGATTCAGCAACCCAGGCAGATGGAGTCTTCAGAGATAAGAGAATATCCAAAACAAGGTTAATTTTCTCTATTCTAGGTGAAAACTGTCAACAGATAATTTAAGATCAGAGTTAATTAAAGTTATGCCATTTAAGTCAGTTTTGGACGAGATGAGAGTTTGAATCACTGTCAGCTAAATATGTGGTTGTCCTTCATCCTGGAGGGGAAAAAGAAGGCAGCTTAAGATTTGTGCATTTTTGCTAATGTTATGAGATGTGAATAGCAAAGTAATCTCATCAATAGTAATAGTGTGTGTTGAAATATACTGTGTTACCTTATAGAAATGTTTTCTATCATACACGGGACCAGTTGGATACTGTAAAACTGACAGGGAAAAGAAAGTAAGAGGATTCTACTAATTAAACAGTATCTACAAGATTTCACAACAAAGGGGACACTGTTTGGTAACATTGTCTGGAAGAGTATTTGTTTAAGTAGTAAGTAAAGGTTTGGCATAATTAAGTTCATTTAGTGTAAGGGTTGCTGCAACGTTTCCTTAATAGTTATAAAAATAAGCTAAGACTGCTCAAATGAAAAGAAATACAGGTTATTCAGTCAGAGCTTGCTGTAGCCAGGGAGTTGGCCACCATCACTTGCAATATGGCAATGAATCAAAGGCAGGCAGGCAGTGAGAAAGCTTTATCGTGGGAAAACCAGAAGGCTACAGGAATGCCCTGGTTGGAAATTATTGTCATGGGGAATCTAAAGGTTGGATAACTAGAAGCAAAACATCCTATTTGATGGGTGAAGCTGCATAATTAGCATTCTCTGGTTGGTTCTAAATTGGAAGCTGGAGGGAAACACTTAGGGAAGCTGGCAGTTACCCACCAATTCCTGAGCATTTGGACCGATCGCTGCAGACTGGTTGCTGCAGAGGTCAGAGTTGATTTTCTGTGTGTGGAACCACCATTGTCTGTTAGTGTATTCAGTCTCCCATAGTATAAAGGCCGAAACTGCTTCAGGATCCAGATAAGAAGCTCTAGAAATTAGAATTTATTAGGGTCACGTAGTCCTTAGTCTGCCTCATGGACATAGTGATTGGTCTAAAGAAGCATTCTTCATTTCTGCTGCCCTAATCATATTGTTCCAGCTTCCACAGACTGATTCAATAGGTCCCGAAGCTAAATTAAGAACCAGGATTCTTCAATAATATATTTGAACTGGAAACAAAGAAAGAGTAAGACTCCGTTGGAAAATGGGAGACTGTGAAACTAGGAATTGACAGTGAGTATCTCTACAGCTGTGACAGACGTCAACCTGAGAGATAAAGCTGAGACCCAGAAGGCAAAGAATGTTACATACACAGAAAGAACATGTAAAATTGGAGCATCTATGTTTCTGCAACACATAAAGTATAACAATACCCCACCTTTCTTGAGATATTGCCTATGAGCCAGTTAATTACCCTCGTTTGTGAAACTGTTTGTCTCCTGCAGCCATTGAATCCTGATTAATACTCATTAAATCTCTATGAATGTCATAGTATATATCAGGCACTATGGCTCATATTATTGTTTTCCCCTGATATTTGGTTATTTTCTTTTCAAGGCACATGGAGACGGACCTCTACCTGCAATGCCCCCCTTGCACTTGGACAGAACCATGTGACTATTTATAAGCTATGACACATGAGCAGACATGACATGATGGGATTGATGGAGCAATGACCTCATCTTTTCTCCTGCCAAATATTATGAAAGAGGACTCAAGTCACTCACCTAAGGGACATTGGGTGAAAGTCAGTAATGAAGCTGAAAGGTCGCTAAATGCTGGCAAGTGAGATGGATTATAGTGTCTAGACTTTTTCCTGAGGTCATTCTATATCCAGCAGATATCTTTCAGTATATAGTCTATTTAAAACAATGTGCTAGTGACTATTGAGTGTGGTTACATTCTTTTTTTTTTGAGATGGAGTCTCACTCTGTCCCCTAGGCTGGAGTGCAGTGGCACAATCTTGGCTCACTGCAACCTCTGCCTCCTGGGTTCAAGCAATTCTCCTGAGTCAGCCTCCTGAGTAGCTGAGACTACAGGCACCCACCATCACGGCCGACTAGGTTTTGTATTTTTAGTAGAGACAGGGTTTCACCATATTGGCCAGGCTGGTCTTAAACTCCTGACCTTGTAATCTGCCCGCCTTGGCTTCCCAAAGTGCTGGGATTACAGGAGTGAGCCACCATGCCCAGCCAGTTACATTCTTTAAACAAGGAGTGGACGTACCCTGAAACAAGAGATTAGTCAAAGAGATTTTGCTATTCATGGGACCTAAAAGGTGGCTGTACTTCCCTTTACTGCTTTTCTATACACAGCAACGCATGCTGTATGGGTTCTTATAGGTCAGAGAGTGAAAGAGAACCAGGACCTATAAAAGAATACAAGTCTCTAAAATCAGAAAGTTTATTATTTAAAAAATAGTTATGTGCCAGTCTGCTTATAATTTTATTTTTATGACTGAGAGTGCCTTTCATAAGCACATTCTGGCAAACTATAAAACAAATAAATTGAAACTGAATAAAACCTTTAGACATTAGAAGTGTAGCACCAGATTTAGTACATAACTGCAAAACTTAAACATGCAATTATACATCTGCAAGCACATTAAATTGAAAGAAACTTTAACTGAATTTAGATACATTAATCGATACAAACTTTTCTGGTATATAGCACTTCTTGGCGCATTGAGTATTCTTAATCTTTAAGGCACATGAATATAATACCTTAGGAAAGATCTGTTCTCCACACATTTCCTCTATAAAGTGCCAAAAAAAAATAACGAAGAGCCAGTTTGTCTTCCGCATCAGTGTGATTTAGCATACATAAATAAGTATCTTTTCCCACAAAATAAAAGGTTCAGAACCCAAAGTGTCTGATTTTTATAGTGCTTTTTCTTTCCTTTTAAAAAGATAGCAAGATGAGGGTAAGAGGTAATTTAAGAGAAGTAATCATCCTCTAACAGCCAGCTTGCAGAAACTAAAACAAATATCAATGATGTAAAAATGTTGTTTTGACACTTCGGTAAATCAAAGTGTGAGATGGGTAAGAATATATTACAGGTGCTTGTATATCAAAGGCCTATGAAAATGGCTGATTATAAAGGAGAAAGTTAATGATCTCTAATTGTGTTGTAATTTAAATGCAGTATCACCGTAATGAAGAGAACAGATTTGCATGTTAACAAAATAAATATTAGAGGAGTGAGTGTAGGATGTTTGGGATAATTAATTCCATCCTCCACTCCTACATACATATGCATATACAAACTCAATTCAATTTTAAAGAGAACCCGAAGAACCAAAAATAGACTGAACACCCTTGATGTTGTATGGGAGCTTAAATTACTATTTTTGTTGTTCTCTGTGACTATCTCATTTAGTTTCTATTGTGTTTGCAATTTCTTCCAAGGTGATTTTTAATGGATTGAGTAATGCATAAAAATTTGCAGAAGTATGCAGAAAGTTTGTATGCAGGGCCATGTAGAGCTTTTATCCTACAGTAAATCCTAGTAGTTTGCTGGTGCTGTGTGATTTTTTTTTTGTTTAGGGTTGTGTGTGTGTGTGTGTGTGTGTGTGTGTGTGTGTGTGAAGCTTATTTATTCCATTTCAAGAAAAAGAAAAATAGACAAATTAGAATACCAAAAATAATTTGCAGCCAGTATCAACCAATTTATATTCAAGCTAAAAAATTAAAATAGCTTTAAGAGAATGGTAGAAGCATATTATTTAAAAACAAACTATGAAGAAATGGACAGAAGCATGTAGACATAGATAACAGAAATTTAAAGTAAAAAGTAGAAAATGAAATTATTCCCTTTTATACCTTAAAGCAAATGATTTCCATGATTCTAAGCCTCTATAAAAAGCAGCAACAATTTCATCATTTTCCTATTCACTATTCATGTTATCTAAATCAGGATTCTGCAAAATTATTTTCCTTGAATTACTTTTAAAACATACCAGAAATGAATTCACTACTCTAATTATCACAGCATTTCAGGGAATTATTAAAAATCAAATCAAATCAAATGAAACTTCATAAGTTGTTTACAAAAAAACTTTAGGTTCATTTGCTTCTAATGCAAGACATGGCAATGTGTCTTGGCCTGTGGATGTCCTCTCCATGTTAATAGTAAGTGCAAGTTTATGAAAAGACTAGACACCGACACCACCTGGGGAAATCAAAGCTTACTTACCTAAAATGCACAGGAGCCAAGAAGCATGTTTAAGTTCATGGGAGGGTAATGAATGCTATTCTCTAGAACATGTTTCAAGGAGCTGGACATGTTTCCTTACCAGGGGAGACTCACACTGCAGATCATAATTTCTGAGCAAGTGAGAAGTGAGAGTTCCATTGCACCTGTGGGAAGCTCTATCCTCCAAAGTGTAGCTTTACACACCCAGCTTGAGTCATTCTTCTTTCAGGTGTATCTGGACATATTCCAGGGACTAGCTTATCTGTGCCTGGTGCACTTCATTTATCACAATTAAACAATATACAATTTGACTGAAGGGCACAGTATAGGTCAGTGCATTTATGCATAACAGCAGGACTTATTAATCATCCTCAGCTCCTGCAGGCTAAGAAATCCTGCTTAAAATTTATTTGCATGCTTAGAACTAGAACAGAGCTTCGAAACTAGAATAAGGGTCACTTACTCTAATGTCTCTGGAAGCTCATGAGGTCAGCCCTGAACGCTAAGTTGCACTTCTTGAAACAGTTTTAACGCCCACGGCTATCTCCCAATTCATTCTGAGTTTGAGAAGGGAAAAAAATGAAATGACATTTAGTAGACTCCTATAACAGTTTGGGTAACACCAGCTGTTTTAACAAACAATCCTCAAAGTTAAAGTGGCTGAAAGTTTAAAATGTGTTTCTCATTAATAACATTCAAATAAAGGCATTTCTTGTCTGGGTGGCTTTTACCAGGGAGTAATTCAGGAAACTGGCCTCCAGTATTATAGCTCCAACTTCCTAGAGGGCTTCAGAGTTCTCCTTTTTCAAATGACACATGTTGAAAGAACTGGAAGAAACATTTATATGTACCACCCTCTAAAAGTGGTACACATTAACCGGGACACAGTTGCATGGAAATATAGCCAAGCTATGTATCCAGAAAGAAGAAAAAACAAGTGTGGTAAAGAGCTATCAGTCTATGCCTTAGCTTTTCAAAATCCAGTCTTACGGCGCACAGATGTAGAGAGAATATGTAGACCTTATATTATGTAAAGGCATTCACAGAACTATTTTTGTTGTTGTTAACATACTTGAGCTTGCCTACGCAATGTTCTTGTAGGTTTCCCAGACTAATAGCCTTCAAAATGGAGGTGAATATATACATATCAGAAAAAAATAAGTAACTTAAGTCTTCTAATAAGATATGTTTTACAAAAATATGAAGAAGATATAGTAACAGCTCCTTACAGCAGTGTAAGACCTTTCTTTCATCCATCTCCTCACCTATAGTTACTATCTTCACAATCCCATTTCCCTCTATGTAGATTTTACTTTATAACATATATTCTCATACACAAAAAATACAATAAAAAATTTTCCATTATCCAACAGAATTTATAAAGCCTACAAAATTTCTAAATATGTCATTTTATATGTAATGAATATGCTTGTTATTTCCCATTAAAAAAAAATGCAGCGGCCGGGTGTGGTGGCTTATGCCTGTAATCTCAACACTTTGGGAGGCCGAAGTGGATGGATTGCTTGAGCTCAGGAGTTTGGGACCCACCTGGCCAATGTGGCAAAAATCTGTCTCTACTAAAAACACAAAAATTAGCCAGGAGTGGTGGTGGGCACCTGTAGTCCCAGCTACCCATGAGGCTGAGGTGGGAGGATTGCTTGAGCTCAGAAAGCAGAGTTTGCAGTGAGCCATGGTTTTATCACTGCAGTCCAGCTTGGCGACCACTTGTTCTTTTTTGCTTGTTTCTTTGTCTTTTGCTTTCCTTTGCATCATAGAGATACGGGTGAAAATTTCTTTAACCCCTTAAGTGTTTCTACTTTGTCTCATATGCTATACCTCATTTGTTACTTGGAGTATACTCTTGGCCATGCTATTAGAAATGGATGATGTAAAAATGGTGCCCCCTGAAGTCAAGCAATGTGAAACATTTGTAAATTTCTACAACAAATGCCCTAAATTGTAGTCACTTAATTAAAATAATTATTTTCTATTTACTGTAATAGTCAACAGGTAAGAAATGCAGTCTTGCATGGATGTCCTACTAAAAAATATATGCCATCTTTTAGTCCATTGATAGTTAGCATATTGCCCTCATCTTCATGGACAAAAATTGGCAATTTTTCTGTAAAATCTCTCTTTCATATTACTGATGACAAAATTCTGCACTTTATCTGAGGAAGAAAATGACAAGACTGACATGTAGGACTCACTTCTCACTGTATAATACCATCCTTGGCTCCTGCCCCAGGATAATTTTGATATTTTTAATTATCAAACCAAAACCAATAAGTTATATAAAATATAGGCAAAGTTACATTCACTGGGAGAATTTTAGCACTCTCAAAATAACATACCAGTTCCTATTATCCAGTAAATTCCTAGCACGTCCCATGCTCCCGGAAGTGTGTCCGGATTCATGTTTTTCTGATATGTGAATGCAAAGTCACTAGCTATTGCCATTTGCCAGGGATTCAGAGAGACAGAAGTGTGGAAATTAACATTTAGATGTATGAGAAATATATGCAAGAAACTGAGACTGAGCAGGCAATTTGTAGATTGTATACAGTGTAGCCTAAACATGTTTGCTTCAGTGAATTTGTCATTTCTTGCATGGGGTAAGTCTAAAATTATTTATTGTTTAATTTTTTCATTAGAAATAAACCCTCTTGGAAGTAATTAAAATGCATATTTCATAAAAAATTAGTGCGATGATGATGACAATCATGTAACTTGCAAAACTTGAGTGTTGTTTTATCACAAACCTTATGAAAACAGATGCATCCTCGCCTTAAAAAAGAGAAGGAAAAAGGAAATGCTCTGGGCACAGCATGAAGCCCAGAAAAAGAATATTTCCAACAGCCCCATGGACATATGGAGAGGATAGAACTTAACAATGCTCATCATCTCTGGTCATCAGAGAAATGCAAATCAAAACTACAATGAGACAGCATCTCACACCAGTTAGAATGGCGATCATTAAAAAGTCAGGAAACAACAGGTGCTGGAGAGGATGTGGAGAAATAGGAACACTTTTACACTGTTGGTGGGAGTGTAAACTAGTTCAACCATTGTGGAAGACAGTGTGACAATTCCTCAAGGATCTAGAACTAGAAATACCATTTGACCCAGCCATCCCATTACTGGGTATATACCCAAAGGATTATAAATCATGCTATTATAAAGACACATGCACATATATGTTTATTGAGGCACTATTAATCATAGCAAAGACTTGGAACCAACCCAAATGTCCATCAATGATAGACTGGATTAAGAAAATCTGGCACATATATACCATGGAATACTATGCAGCCATAAAAAAGGATGAGCTCATGTCCTTTGTAGTGACTTGGATGAAGCTGGAAACCAGCATTCTCAGCAAAATATCACAAGGACAGAAAACCAAACACTGCATGTTCTCACTCACAGGTGGGAATTGAACAATGAGAACACTTGGACACAGGGTGGGGAACATCACACACAGGGGCCTGTTAGAGGAAATACCTAATGTTAATGATGAGTTAATGGGTGCAGCAAACCAACACGGCACATATATACATATGTAACAAACCTGCACGTTATGCACATGTACTCTAGAACTTAAAGTGTAAAAATAATAATAATAAAAAACTTCCAGCCCAAACAAAAATAGTATTAGCTACATTCAGAAGACCCCACAGAAGGGGTATAGTTTCCCACAGACACCCTACTAGAAAGCAGCTTTGTGGACAACATTCACCTCACCGTTTCCCAAAGATCATCATCATCACATCCTCTGCCTTAGAACCTATAACAGCGTCATTCATGGGGATGCCTCTCGCTCCTTAAAAAGTACTGAGAAAATTATGAGACAGAGAAGAAAGGGGGAGGGGATAAAATTAAACTTTGTTTACAGAAGCCTGGGCTCCTGACTTTGATTTTGCTACTAAAGTAGCCGTGGGGAAATATTTCTTGAAACAATAAAAATGATTGATTTAGGTTTCAAAGTTTTTAACTCACAATAAAGAATTTTTTCTCCTTTCTCTTGCACTGTTTTTCATAATGATGGTATAAAACATATTAAGGCGTTATCACAAACAATTACTTCATGAGATTATATTTGAGTTTGGGGATTTCAAAGTCATTTTATTAAAATTAGCTGTATTGTTACACATTTTGTCTGGAAAGTCTAAGTAATGTCATTAAAAGCCCAATTTAATTGCTTTGAAAAAGCTTATGCTTGACATGATATTCAGTCTCTTAGATTTCACAATTCATTCTCCGTGTATTACTACTATGACTGACTTGTCTCTTTTTGAGTTCCTTCTAGAATTCAAAAGCATTAAGATTTAAGTGTGGCTGACTGCCACGGTTACTACTTGAGACCGTCATTACTAGACTGAATGAAGAGACGAACATAGAAATGGTAACAAAAAACAAAAGAAACTTTTAAGGAAAGGCTAGCATGGGGAAGAAGAGAGCTCCCTGCTTCTAGTGGTCCTCATTCCATCTTTGCATTCAGATTCAACTGGTTCATGGTTCATACTGGGGGAACAAGGTCCATGGTTGGGATCCATGGGTCCCTCCAGTCTCCTGTTCCACGGTCGTACACACCTTGAGAGCACCCACTCGGTTTGTTCATCTTCTGCAAAGACGTAAGTATACCCTCGTCCCCACATTAGTAAATCTACCAAACAGAATCAAAAGTGTTTTCTTTTTTATTTATTTTTTATTTTTTTTGCTGTAGCCGGGAGGCACGCCATTGCTGAAACATTTGTAACTCACCTTCTGCCTCTTTGGTTAATTGCCGTGGGGTAAAACTTTCCACTGATAACAAGAAGCAGGCTCTTTCTGATTAACACACGGCACAGAGAAAGCAAATCGAGGCTTATCCTTCTCGTAAAACAGTATAGCAAAAAGCAATCCTTAAACCTTCAATTTGCACTGTACAGGTGGGTCCACTAGATGCTATGGGTGGTGATAGATAAATCTCTCTCCTAGTTGCACTTCCAAATCCCTGACCACCTCGCTTCTTCTTATGTGGAGAAGGGTACAATTTACAGGGAAGAAGCGAAAATTGAGCAACGTATTCTCCCAGTTCAAAAACCCAAAGATCTTGTGACGTTACCACTACCTGAATTTCTCCTTCACAATCAAAATCAACAACTCCTGGGCCTGTAAGTTAAGAGAGCTTTTACCAAAATCAATCCCATGTATCTTGTTGGCAAAGATCACCAAATACTAATGTGAATCTTAGTGAGTTTGTTTCTTTCATTTAATGTAATTGGTTCTCTAGAAGATCTAATCCTGCGTTTCCAGGTGTTCCTGGGGCGAGGGAATCAATGTGCCTCTGGAAACCCACCCCTGAAACGGAGTTGTGGCCTGGACGGGGAACGCCCTCATAGTTTGAGGTACCCGGGTCCAGGCCCCCTTCTTGCTTCCCAACAGGGGGGTGCCGTTTTGATGAAATTTTGAGTGGCGTTGATTAGCCCAATGATTTCCTTTATTGCATCGAGGGCAAAGTCCCGGCATTTTTTTCTGTTAAGAGGGGGACTATGTTACAAGATCTCTTTTTCACAGAGGTCTGATGGCATTCTCTTTTGAAACGTCCAAGTTTTCTACACTTATAACACTTTCCCACTTTAGGGCTTGACCCTTGGCTTCTTTTAGATCTGTCAGCTACCAAATTTGCTATTGCCTGAGTCAATAGTGCAGAGCAATGAAGCTCAGTTCCCACATCTTGACAAGCTCTGAGAAAGCCTCCCAAGTCCTCTGCACATCTCACAGGTGCCAGTGCACGTTTACAATCCATGAAAGCCAAAGCTAAAGTTAGCCTTTCTGTAGCCACAAAAGAAGACGATACAAGCCAATTTTCATTCTCCCTCTTCTGTTCACCATTTTCGATAGGCACTGTAGGTGGGGCAAAAAATTCTAAATAACAAAAAGATGGTACATACCAAAACTCCAAACAAACAAAAAAGAGAAAAGAAATAGCCAAATTCTTCCTCATGTTTCCCTGTTTTAAAAACTTCCCATTCTTTGTACCTCTAGGGCACTGACCAGTACCTTTTTAGAGCACTAACCTTATGTTGCTGCCAACAGAGTTGTAATGGGCTTTCTCGTTCATCTAGTTGGTTTTAGTTTTTTCTGTTCCAGCAGACCTTCCTCGCTCTAGTCCCTATAGGACCCTATCTGTCCCTATCTGTCCCTGTCTGTTCCTCCAAATCTCTCCTAGTCTTTGCTAGTCTCTACTTTTGTACCTCTTTAGGACACTGACTAGTACCTCTTCAGGGCACTGATCTTATATTGCTAGTCTTTTGTCTATTCCTATCTGTCTCTGTCTGTCCCTATGGTACCTGTTAGTTCCTGCAAGTTCCTGCAAGTCCCCGTCTTTCCCTACCTATCTCTACTTTTCTCTACTTACTTATCTCTACTTACTTTTCTCTACTTATCTCTACTTATCTCTGTTTATCCCTGCAGGCCTCTTCAGGTCCCTCCAGGTCCTTTCAGGTCTCTGTATGTCCCTGATAGTCTCTGAAATGTCCCTGTTCAGGCACCATTTGTAGTTGACTGTCACTGCTACTACATGAGACCATCACAAGTATGTTGAATTGATCCTGGAACTCCTAGATGATAAACATTTTTTTATACCAACCTTCAACTTTTTCATTAAAATTAGATTGGGTAGATACTATAAATAGTGTCCCAAGCACTAGTGGAAAGATTCTACCATGTCTTACACTGGTTACTATGAGTTTGGAGTCAGAGGTATAAGGCTTGAAGAAAAAAGCACAATGAAATACAATTTTATCCACCAATCTGACATTTTTAAGTTTTAGGAAAATTGTGTCTTAATTCAAGCTGCTATAACAACAACAAAAACAATATACACTGACTGGTTTAAACAATAGAAATTTACTTCTCGGAGTTCTGGAGGCTGAGAGTCCAAGATAAAGGTGCCAGTCAATGGTTACAGGTAAAACCTCCAATCCTTGTCATGTCCTCATAAAGAGACAGAGAGAGAGACCAGACAGAGAGAGAGAGAGAGAGAGAGAGAAAGAAAGAGAGAGACTCATGACCTAATTATTTCCCAAAGGCCCTGTTTCCAAATATCATCTCAGTGGAATTAGGGTTTTAACATACAAATTTTGGGGGCGACGCAAGTATTTTTAGTCCATACCAAGTTAGATGCAACTTTACCAAAATTATTGTGGGTAATTTGACAAGGTAAGAGAGGTCAATGAAACATAAATTATATGATAACTTCTTGGTGCTCAGGCAGTATACCTGCTAGGTTGTCTCCTGGCTAGAGGAATGAAACAAGTAGTATTCAACAAGACCTTGGTAGTGAGTAAAACATGGCATATAAGTTGATTTTTGTGGGAACGACATAGTCTAAATATTATTTTGATGACATACCTGTGTATTGACCTCTCTTGCATCAAAATGACATAAACATGGAGAAATAATTCTGAAAGTCAGCAGGAACTTGCAACTCACTTCTGGGAGGGGACCAGTTAGGGGAACTATGGTATTAGCCTGTGGCAATGTCGACCTCCACACAGGAGGAAAGAGTAGTCACATACCCTAAATCTTGCATAACATGGTGTCTTAAAATTTCAATAAATCTACTGAGTTAAATTAACAGCAAAGCAGAAAAATTTGCCAAAGCTATTTATAGCTCCATTAAAATGGAAGACAAGTTAAGAAAATGTGTGTTGTAAATAATCATGTCAGAAGTTAGTTAGTGTTTCCTTCAAATATAATCATAGGCCTAAGAATTTTTATCCAAGATTGATGAAATTTTATTTTACACAACAATAAATGGAACACAAAGGCTGCACATCATTTTTTTGTCATCTGTACATATCACTAAAAAAAAAGCATCAAACTAAAACAATAAATGTAATATTAAATAGGGATTTTGTAATTGCTAATATTTTTAATACAGAGAAAGAATAATGTTTAATGATTAATTACAAAATTGATGAACTAGAATAATGAGAAATCAAGGAGAGCTGAAATTTATGGAACTTTATGATAAACTAATAAAGGACAATTTTATTCCTAGCACTTTAATTATTTGCTTTATCATTGCATTTTAAATGCAATTATCAAAAATAAAGGTTATAACTAAGAATTTCAAAAATTCTAATTATAGCAGAATTGGTAACAAAGAATTGAATACAGAGGGTGAATCTTATATTGCTTTATTATTATTAAAACTAAGGAAATAATTAGAATTTTGTGTACTGATTTAGCTACGAAGGAAAAGGAGGGCGTCATCATTTTAAAAATGTTTCCACATTGTCTACAGAAGCCTAGATTATTAAAAAAAGAGTGGCCTCAGATAGATAACTGATTGGAATACACTACAAAATCTAGTAGTCAACTTGTTAAGATAACTGCAGATTCCATTTAAGACAGATTGTGAAAAAATATACTGGAAGAAATAGATTTTATTTAATATCCTTAAACATAAAACTTTGTTACCTTCTAAAACACTATATTTAGTTTTATTTCTATTTTATAATATTGTATATGATGTGCTTTCTTTTCCAGGTAAAACTAACAAAAGACAATAAAATGTTATTAACCTGAGTTATGGTTAAAGTAGAAGAGCTGTGGATATTACACTACACGAAAAAAAATTCTTCCACAGATATTATTTGTGTATGCATACATCGATAGAGATACACATAGATAGATACAGATACAGATAGATATCGATACAGATATAGACTTGGTTATAGAGACTGAGTTTTTTAATACAGCAAGAAAAGAGAAATATTTATTTACACTGGATCAACAAAGGAACTAGGCTATTAACTCAGATTGTAATAGTCTAAAATTTTTCCAAAAATTAGGAAAAATAAAATATTTATATGAATTTTACCTGGAAATGTTTCAAAATAGTTTGCAAAGAGTGAGAATGAATTTCAACTTGTGAGTAAAGGGTAAAACCGAAATGAAAGTTAAAACAAATAGTTTCCCCCTTTCATTATTAGATCATGATTTATTGAAAACAATCTTGATGTTAAATATTGATTAAAATTAATGAAGGTGCAGAGTTCCTAAGACCTTGTCATTTTAACGTTATGAATATCTTCACAATGAAAACATTATTCATGTTATTTATGTGAGCTTATATGTACTTTTCCGCATAAATAATTTGTACTCTTAGTTAGAAACAAATGAACTATGGCTTTTGGTTTGGTTTTGTTTATTTATGAATAAACATTAAGAACTGTGCTTACGAAATTTTCAGGAAATATACTGAATGCTTTAATGTACTCTGTAACATTGCAACATATAATTTCCCCTCTTCCCTCACTTTTTGATGTAGCTATCATTGCTTTGAGTTTTTATCTACTGGTTATTTTAAAGAGCTTAATGGTCTCATTTACTTAAAAGTGGAATAATATTGGACTACTATTTTCTTTTTTTAACCTCTCTAGGTCATTCTACAGTCATTACCTTCCAGCCTATTTGTTTCTGCAGAATCTACATATGTAATACCTATAAATTTTCTTTTCATATTTGTTCACTCATCCACATCATTAATAAAGTTATTAAGTGAAGACAAACCCAGCAGTAGCACTCCCTTACCACCTTGAAATATTGTGCTGATGTAGAGGTTGTATCTGATTTAATTCTTCAAGGATTATTAATGTATGTGGAACTAGCTTTTCAGCCATGGAAATCTTTAGTACATATTTAAGAAAAAGTGATTTAATGCTCAGTAGGGAAATGTTGTCCAAAACAGTGCCTGAAAAAAGCAGGTATGTGTCCACATTGGGCACACTGCAGGTGGGGTATATTGTTGAGATAGGAAGGAAAAATAAAATGTGAGAAAAGGCAAGAGACAGAAAACAAAGTGCAGGTCGGGAAGAGACAACTTTAACTTCCACCATTTGTTAATCAATTCTGAAATATTTTCATTTTTACAGCCTAAAATTATGCATGTGTTGGCATTTTTTTAAATGGATGATATTACAGTTTTCATTCAAGCATTGGTATAGAGCCTAAGCTTTTGTTATGGATGAGATGTTTAGATTCTTCATCTGGAAAATCTATTTTCCTGTTATTGAAGTCACATATATACATATATGTATATATACTTTTATATATGTGTCTATATATAGTAAAAATGTGTATATTTATTTTAAAAAGTATTTTGGTTCATGTTTTTGTTCTTAATGTTGTCCTACTAAAATTACTTAATCATAAATCTTTCTACTAACAGTAAGGCAGAAACAGAGTAACAAGGGATTTTTTTTTTCTATTAAACTGAAGACAGAGAAGTTTGGTATTTATTTTTACCTAATATAGCAAACTTCAAAAAACAATCTATTTCAATAAAAATATTTTCCCCAGCTACAGAAATAAACAAGGGATAATATATAATCTAAAAATATAATGGAAGAAAAGGCACAGCATTAAGAGATTGCCTTATTTTCCTTTCTAGCACATCTTGCTCTTAAAACATCCATTAGTCTATAAAGGGTGCTATTTACAAGGATCAGTTTCCCTGTATTTCTGGGTTGAATGATCCTCTACTTTTACTATCCTTTGCTAAACATGACAAAATAAGAAAATAAAAGATGAAGATCTCAAATGACATCAATTTCATTGCCTCTAAAAAGTTGTGATGATGAATGTTACCACTACTCAACTGAGTTTATGAAAAGGCAAATATACTTTTAAAAATGTAGGGGTGCTTATACAAAGACTTATGTGTTTATGTTTACTTTTTTTATAAAGCTGATTTAATTAAAATATTTAGTTAGTAATTTATTGACTCAAATACTTTATGCCTTCTATTTCACATTTTTTACAGGTTTATAAGTCTACATACCTATGTCAATTAGTGAATTTTCTACCAAGAGTTCATGTTTTGTTGCTTAAAGGCAGATAATTTTTTTATTTAAATAATATTAAAAAGAGGAAAATATTTCAAAATACCAAGATTGGGAGGTGTCTGGGAGATTTACATGTATTGCTTTTACTAACTATCTAGCACTGGATTTATAAACCAGCTTATTTTTTTAATTTAAAAGCTCTCTGCCTTGCAATTTAATTCACATGATCTGCATTAACCATGGCATATTCAAAATTTCATTGATAAATTCTATCCAGTAGTCAATATCGAATTGTAAACTGATGTAATGTGCTTTAAAATATGAAGATTTAATCTTTAAAATATGAATATTTGATTGAATAATTACTACCACTAAAATCATGTTTACTTATTAGAATTATCATATAGGAATTGTTTTATAATGTATATGTTAATTGAATGTGATTTCTTGATACTTAGGATATACGTTAAGTATACATAAACAAATTGGAAATAAAGTTCTGATATACTGTTCCATGAAAGTTTCAAATCTTTATATTAAAGATTACCATTTGAGTCAGAGGCAATGATAGGATTTTCTGTACTTTATCCACATTTATATATATAAATATATATATATATATATGTTTTCATATAACCTTTCATAAGGATAGAAAAGAGCTATGAATGTTTCTCCATCAGGCATCTTTCAAATACAACATAACAATAACTTCCTTAAGTATTTTATTTAGGCAAAAACTATAAAATGATGGAATGGAAAAAGAATTCTCAATGATTAAACCAAAGCAATTATATTTGATTCTGAATTTTAAAAGATTAGTCCATCAATTTATATTTAGAGGTTAGAAAACACATTCTGAGAGACAGAAAATTATATTACTTTTCTGACTTCCTGGAGAATATTGTGCTTTGTCAAATTTTACATTTATGAGAAGTTTTATATTAAAGCTATAAAATCTATCAGGGTAAGTTAATATGAGTATTTGAAAGTTTCACTGTTAAATTTATATTATCACATATTAAATGAAAGAACTGTTAACTGTGTACTGAATTCAAAAGTTAATATAGCTTCTCTCTTTTTTAAGAAATGGGACACAATATTAAAAAATTAAAGAGTTTTCAAATATTTATACTTAAATTTATATCTAAGGAATTATATATAGAATGCATACCTTTCAAGTAGATACTATTGTTGCTGTTAAGATTATTGTCAACAAAATTTAAATACACAGACTATTAAATAAAGAAACTAAAACAACAAAAAATAACCTCTAGGCCAGGTGTCCTGGTTAACCTGTAATCCCAGAACTTTAGAAGCTTGAGGCAAGAGGATTGCTTGAGACCAATAGTTTGAGACCGGCCTGAGCAGCAAACTGAGACCCTATGTGTATCAAAAAATGTTTTAAAAGTAGCCGGGTACTGAGGCAGGCATTTGTAATCCAAGCTACTTGGGAGGCTGAGGTGGGAGGTATGCTTGGGCCCAGGATTTTGAGGCTGCAGTGAGCTGTGATTGCACCACAGCCCTCCAGCCTGAGAGAGAGAGGAGACCTTGTTTCTAAAAACTAACTAAATAAACAATAATGTAAAAAATCTCTCTTTATGTGTATGCTTCTCTTTGCCAGTGTTTAAGGGTTAAAAAAATCAATATGAGAGATTAACTAAAGTAGCAATTTAGAGTTAAATGAGTGCATTTGCCACTTGAGTGCCGATTGCCTCACATGACAGACAATATTAAGTGCTGATGACTTTAACTTTCACAAGTTTTATGCGATAGGGGGATAAATTTTTACTTAAAATGTGTTAAACTTCGGTTTAATTGCACTAATTAATGTCTCAATAGATATACTGTTGTATCTACCTCAAAATGCAAACACCAATGAAGTAATTCATCAGAAGACTTGATATGAATAAAGAATGGAACAGTAAAGTTGAAGATAAAAAACACAGAAATTGAATAACAAATACAAGTAAGAAACAAGAAGAGTGATAAATAGCAGAACATGGCATCCAAGAGCTGAAGGACAGCTCTGGATGCCTAACTTGAACGGATTCATGAAAGAGAACAAGGATGATAAATACTTAATAACAAAATGAATGAGAATTTTCCAAAAGAAGTGAAGGCAATCAAATCGTAAATCCAAGAAACATTTCTAGAGATATAGGGGCTATGTAAACAAACTAAAAAAAAGGTAAAAAAATTATATGAAGACAAACATAGTTGTGTTGTATGTATTATATAGTTAAATATACGTTATACAGAGGCACGAAGAAAAGAAGTACAGGAAACCTGTCCTCAGGAACTATTTAACTGTATACTGGAAATTTTAACCAGTGTACTAAAGTAAGAAAAATAAACAAAAGGCATACAAATTGGATACGAAGAAATAAAACTCTATTTGATTCGTGGATGGTCTATGCACAATATTCCATTATGTACAAAATAATTAAAATTATTAGAAGTGAAGCTGCTAGAAATAAATTGTGAGTACAAAATAATTAAAATTATTAAAAGTGAAGCTACTAGAAATAAATTGTGAGTTTTGTAATTTCACACTATGCACTATAACACTATAATGTTAATATACAGAATTATTTTTTATATGTAATTGTTGCAGGAAAAACCCAGACCTGTGTAGAAGAACATCCCTCTGCCAAAGAGATAGAGCTGGAATAACAAAGAAGGACTCAGACAAGTCCAGCTTCATGAGAAGATGAGTTTATTAGGACTTACGTAAAGGGCAGCGGGATAACTCCAGAGATCCGCCTGCTGCCCACCATCTTCCTCTAAGCTGCTTTTAAGCTACTTTTCTTTTCTTTTCTTTTTCTTTTTTTTTTTTTTTTTTGAGACGGAGTCTGGCTCTGTCGCCCAGGCTGGAGCGCAGTGGCGGGATCTCGGCTCACTGCAAGCTCCGCCTCCCGGGTTCACGCCATTCTCCTGCCTCAGCCTCCCGAGTAGCTGGGACTATAGGCGCCCTCCACCACGCCCGGCTAATCTTATGTATTTTTAGTAGAGACGGGGTTTCACCATGTTAGCCAGGATGGTCTTGATTTCCTGACCTCGTGATCCGCCCGCCTTGGCCTCTCAAAGTGCTGGGATTACAGGCATGAGCCACCGCGCCCGGCCAAAGCTACTCTTCTGGGTCTTTGCTTACTACATGTGATGAAACTGTTCTTCTTGGTATGTACCTAGATATGCTCCCGGATGTTTTGGTTTTCAGGGACATCTGCTCCTCGGCTGAGCACCATGAACTTTGCTCACCATCTAGCCTTCAGGACTCAAGCAGTCAACATATGCCCTTAAATTCCCTGGTGGGGGACCCACTACTTTACAACACTATTAATGAACAATTGGAAATTAGAATTTTTTAAAGTTACATTTAAAGTAGCACAAGAAACATGAAATTCTTAATCTAAAAAAACATGGAGAAAGGGTAACAAAAACTAAAAAAACACTGGTAAAAGAAATCAAAGAAGAAGTAAATAAGTAAAGAGCTTGGTAGCCAATATTGACAATAAATTAATTCTGTTCAAACCAATCCAAAAATTCAATACAAAAATTCAATCCAGTTAAAATTCCTAACAGGATATTTGCAACTAACAAACAAGCTCATTCTAAAACTTTCAATAGAGAAGCAAAGGAATTATAATAGAAAAATCATTTTGACAATAAAAAATTGAGGAATCCACTGATTTATATGTATACTATATACATATATGTAATATCCATATGTATATCTGTTGGTGACTTTAACCATATGATTCATAATTTCAAAAACTGGTGAATAGTCAAAAAGTTATATACTGTTTCTATTTAATATCATGTTAGGAAGAAAAAGAAACAAATCTGATAACATAACAACGTGAATGTGTCTCAGATTTATTATGCTATTTAAAAAGCCAGATTTAAAGGCCTATTCAGGATGCTGTTTGCTCCCTTGTGTATGACATTCTAGAAAATATAAAACCATAGGGACAGAGAACAGCGATTTCCAAAGACTGAGGGCAGCAGAAATATTGATTCAAAAGGCACAAAAGGGAATTTTTCTAGGTGATGTTACTGTTCTATATCTTGAGGATGGTATTTGTTATATAACCATCTATGTTTTCAACACACTGCATACTTAAAAAGATGACTTTTGCCATATATAAATTTTAATTCGATAAACCTGAGTTTTTAAAACAAAGATTTTCTGTAACCAGTAGACTCATAACACTGTCTTCCTGCCATTGACTAAGATGGTTTCAATAGTGGATTCCTCTTGTTCATGCCAGCCAATGTGTCTTTTGTTTAACCAAAACCCTTGAAATATCTTTGCCTCAGGCTTTTATTGCAATTTCCTGTAATTTAAAGACTTCACCCTCCTATTCACAGGAGTTAGTATCTTGAAATGGTAATAACTTGAAAACAGCTATGGTGGGAGGACTTACTCTTTGAAGTGTAGCTTACATACATGCAGCATACACCATGTATCAAGACTTTCTTTTTTTCTGTTTTTTTTTTTTTTTTTTTTTTTGAGATGGCGTCTCACTCTGTTGCCCAGTCTGGAGTGCAGTGGTGTGGTCTCAGCTCGCTGCAACCTCCACCTCCCTGGTTCAAGCGATTCTCCTGCCTCAGCCTCCTGAGTAGCTGTGACTACAGGCACCATGCCACCACGCTGGGCTAATTTGTGTATTTTTTATTAGAGACGGGGTTTCACAATATTTGCCAGGCTGGTCTCGAACTCCTGACCTCGTGATCCACTCGCCTTGGCCTCCCAAAGTGCTGGGATTACAGGCGTGAGCCACCGTGCCCAGCCGACTTTCTTTTCATTTGGATCACTAGTTTACCAACATCACTGCCTTTACCCAACTCTATTAACAATTACTTAACCTAGTTTATCAAGTCACTTGTCAAAATAGAGATTTATATTGTTTATATATTTAATATTTTACAAATCTGTATTTTTGTACTTCACTATCTAATTAAACCTTTGGGGTAACTTTTATGTGTGTCCCAAATAGGACAGGACAGTTATTCATTTCTTATAATGTATCAGCTAATTTCAAGGAGACATCGGAATTTTTGTGGAGACATCGGAATCTGAAGAGCAAAGTGATTCAAATTGGGTCACAGATTAAATAATTTTTAAAATGTTTACTTTAAATATCTTAAAAAACTTTAAGGAGAAAATTAATTTTTCTATATTGTTCTTGGCCTTAAAATATACATTAAGCATTAGTTTTCTGGCTTTTGATGTTTTTCATAAAATTAGCTCAAAAAATGCAAAAAGCTTGTATGAATATATAAGGGCCTTTGTAATCATATTGTAATTGCTTGACATAGTTAATTTCTTGATTTCTGACTCTGGCATCTGAGTTTCATAATTGTTATGTAATTACTCTATTTTTTTAAATAATTCATGTTTTTAAATGGAAGTTTCAGTCTCAGATCTTTTCTATTTCATGCAATAAATAATTTTTAGCAGTAGAGAATTATTTGGCAATAAATATTTTTTGAGACGTCATGCTCCAATGATATAATTTAGTCCACTTTCTGCTTGAAAATATGCAAAGAAGAAATCTCTTGTTGGTATTAATTTCAGAAGTCGTCTTTGCACACACAATGATGATCATTCTATTTTCCTTAGATAATTCATAGTAGTGTAACCCAATAATATAATCTTAGATGTGTAACTTACATACATGCAAGTGGCACATGAAGCATGTGGTGTACTGAGATGAAAATAAGCTTGTAAAAGTCATTGGTTACCTAACTGCGGCTTGGTACCTAGCACACCCTACCTGCAACGGTCCCAACAGTTACACTGGCTCTATTTGACTTAGATGATGCAGGGGTGGGTTCAAAATTCCTCTCTTTTTCCTAATTACATAAGACTGAGCATCCCTTCCCTTGTCTCAATCTGGGATTTTGAGAGTTTATTATAAGATCCCCAGTGAAAATCCACCCAGGTGGTTCTTCCCTACCCTCTTTAAATGTTCACACCCTAGTGTGAACAAGCTAGAAGTGGATTCTATGAGGCAGTGACAACAGACCATGTTCAACTTCTACACTCCTTGATGTTTGTGTATTGGAAGGAGGTGTGACAAGATGCCAGGCACCAGAATTTCAGGTTGGTCTTTATGGAATTCTTGAACTCTAGGGCTGCATCCCTCCCTATAATGAGGCAAAGTTGGGAAAGTAGAAAGTTCAATGCAGCCTATGATTTTTACTTCATGGTTTTCTATAACCTAATACATATCACATTCAATTATGTGTTAACTCGTGAGCATTCAAATTAATCGAGCATGCTTTACCAAAATATTGTCATTATTTTGGTTATTATAAATTATATATGGCCATGATCAGTGCTATAGGGCAAGACTATATCATTTTTTACTTCTAGGCTAAAAGGATTATGTTCCTACACATGAATTATGTAACTTTTTAAAAAAATAGTGATATTTTTCTATTAGAAGTTAAAGCAATTAGTTCTTTACAACATTGGCTACATACTCAAATCAACTGATTCCTGGGTTTCCCCTAAATCCAAGTAAATCAGGCAGAGAGCAAAACTAAGGAACAGTATTTTCAAAGCTGACCAGGATTGACAATGACTGGTATTCAAATAGCTGTGAATTTGTGCAAATGTAGCAGAAGATAGCAAAGGGCTTCTGGATATGCCAATTATTATTTATTTATTTTTATTATACTTTAAGTTCTAGGGTACATGTGCACAATGTGCAGGTTTGTTACATATGTATACATGTGCCATGTTGGTGTGCTGCAGCCATTAACTCGTCATTTACATTAGGCATATCTCCTAATGCTATCCCTGCCCCCTCCTCCCACCCCACGACAGGCCCCGGTGTGTCGTGTTCCCCACCCTGTGTCCAGGTGTTCTCATTGTTCAATTCGCACCTATGAGTGAGGACATGCGGTGTTTGGTTTTCTGTCCTTGCGATAGTTTGCTCAGAATGATGGTTTCCAGCTTCTAGAACTGGAAATACCATTTGGCCCAGCCATCCCATTACTGGATATATACCCAAAGGATTATAAATCATGCTGCTATAAAGACACATGCACACATATGTTTATTGCAGCACTATTCACAATAGCAAAGACTTGGAACCAACCCAAATGTCCATCCATGATAGACTGGATTAAGAAAATGTGGCACATATACACCATGGGAATACTATGCAGACATAAAAATGTATGAGTTCATGTCCTTTGTAGGGACATGGATGAAGCTGGATATGCCAATTATTATTAAAATAATTTTTGGGTTAAGCTGATTTTTACTTTTCTGAAAGAAAGATCTAAACACAATGCCTATAATAAATCTTAGAAATTGTCTGTCTCCATTGGTGAGATTAGTCAGTATAAACACTAACATATATAAATAAAACCAAACAACAGTTACTCTTTTCCATAATATTATGCTTTTGTGTTCAATGAAATATTTAATTTAATTACTAAATTTCTAGCATTTCTCTGAAGGATAAAACAAATAAGCAAACAAACAAATTAACAAGAAAAACCCAAAATAACTTCAATGAATTAAAACTGTCTAGTGCTGCCTTTCCTATAATTATTGTCACCAAATAAAGTGCCTATTGGACAGAGATGGCTGGTTAACTGCAATCTCCATTGACCCTTTCGCCATCAGTAAAAATGTCCTCTAATGCTTAGCTGGACACATGATCACCAGGAATAAATGCTATATTCCCAATCTTTTCTTAACATAGGGCATGACGTGACCAATTTCTGACCTATGTTGTGTAAGGGGAAGTAACACGTGTAACTTCTGAGAAGCTGACTTACATGCAGGAGGCATGTCCTATCTCTGTGCTTTCTTCCTTCTTGGAAAGGCAGCTGTGATGGCTAGATCTGGGGCAGCCATGGGGCAACATGAGAAGCAGCAGTACTTGGAGGTGCAAAGCAACAAGATAATAGGCATCTGGATTTCTGATGATCATGAAGACATCATACCTGAACTGGGGTGTGTGCATATCCCTGAGAGGCAAAAAATGTCTATATTGTTTCCGTGAGTTCTTAGCCTACACTGCACATACGAATTATCAGAGAACTTTCAAAATTTATCAAATGCCCATTCCTATTAAGGTATCTGGAAACTTATTCTTGGCCTATAATTTTCCACTGGGTCAACTATAACCCAAGTTTATCTGTCTTCTATATCCAGAGACTGTACCCTGCTCCTATGCAGTCTTGCTCTCTCCATAGCTTCATATGTGCAGCAGCACTCACCCTCTGCCTTCCATAACCAGGAGTGGGGCGCTACCTTCCCTCAGCTGACTCCTGTGCTGCAGAAACTTGCTAAGAAACACGGAGCATATGTTTCAGACTCAGAATAAAATTATTTTTACAGTCACCAAGTTTTAGAGATTCTGATTTAGTGTATCTGGGTGTATCCAGGGTACCAGTGTGATCCCTTCTCACTCAAATGAAAATTACTGGAACTTGATGTTATTTGGTATTCAGTTACACAAAGCTGAGTGTAACTGATTGGTTAATAGTAAAAGTTTTGATATCAGTAAAATAGTTGAATTATTCTAAACCATAACTTTGTAGCTACATGATTTGGGTGAGATGATTTTTTTTTTTTGAGAAGGAGTCTCGCTCTGTCACCCAGACTAGAGGGCAGTGGTGTGATCTTGGCTCACTGCAACCTCCTCCTCATGGGTTCAAGTGATTCTCCTGCCTCAGCCCCCCGAGTAGCTGGGATTACAGGTGTGCATCACCATGCCGGACTGGTTTTGTACTTTAGTAGAGATGAGGTTTCACCATGTTGGCCAGGCTGGTCTCAAACTCCTGATCTCAGGCGATCCACCTGCTTTGGACCCCCAAAGTGCTGGGATTACATGAGTTAGCCACCACACCCTGCCTGAGATGATGTTTTTGAGCCACAGTATTCCCATCAGTAAACCAGATATACTAATTGTAAGTTCAGGTATTTTTGTGACACATATATTATTGAAATTATTATTATTAAATTACTGACTTTAATAATACATTCTTAAATTAGTTATTATTATAATAACAATTAATATTGAAAGCAGTTTATAAACTTGCGTGGTGCTAGGGGGCACTACAATGTAAAGGAATTTATGTAATAACAAAAGTAAAGATGCAACATTTGATTTTATTTTTCATGTTTTGTAATGCAAAAATTAACTGTCCTTTTATTTAAATTACAGCACATGCAAATTAACTTTTAGGTATATAATTATTCTGAATTATTTCAGAAAACTATTATGGTCTCATCACTGGATTAAAAAATGTAATAATATTCTCAGTTTAAAGAAAATGCACAGGTTTTAAATCCTCTGTGATAAGGGCCCATGAACTTGGAGCTGCTGATTTTTTTTTTTTAAATTTGCAGGGTTTTTACATAACAAATTATCAGAAACCAAAGCACCCAGATATCAGACTATGAATAGAAAACATCTTTCCTGAACAAGTACAGGCTTTATTACTTAATTGTATTTACACTGATGAGTGCACACAAAGAAAAATCAATTTGTGGGAGTTTATTTCATTGGTATTGAAATTGTATCTTCCTTGAAAAACTTGGCACAAAGTGCCTAGTTTGTCTCCCAGTTCATTATATTATTATTTTACTATATTCTGTGCTGTTATGTAGTTTTATATGGGCTCACTAGTTGAGTGTTCAAAATTGCTTTTCTAAACTATAGAATATTAACTTCCAGTATTTACCAAAAAAAACTTATTTATTAAAAAAATCACAATAAAAGGGCATAAAATAAATATAAATACTCAACATTTTCAAGGTTCTTCTGGAATCATTCTGAAAGCATTAAAAAGAGAGGCTGGAAATCTGCGTTTATAATATTGGCAATTTCCCTACCTACTTAATAGTAACATTAAAGCTTCCTCAGTATGCTTTCTGAAACAAGTAAAAATGTTCTTTTACCTTAACTTATACTGTGGAAAATCTCAAAGGAATGCTAGAAAACCATTCCAATGTACTCACCCAAACAACACAAAATACCCACACCTTCTCCAATTCAAACAATCATTTAATTAATCAAAAGAGCTGAGATGCACTCCCTCTCTACCTCATAAGGGCTTCCATCATGAACTTGATTGTGTCCTAAATTCAGTCCTCCAGGAGAAGCTCATCACCCTCCCCATGTCCTGAATGTCAGAATCCAAAGCTGGAAACTGCATCCTACTTAATCTTTATGTTTTTTGAAAAAGTTTATCTTTCTTCCCAGGAATAAAAACATCTATTCTCTGAGGCACATGTAAGCATTTATCCTTCAGTATAACGAACTTTTTTAGTCACACTGTTAATGACAAGCTGACATAAATTTTTTTCTGCTCCCACCTTCAAAGCTCCAAGCCCTGTATTCTTACAGGATGATATTCATAAACTATTCGACCTTAGCTTCCCTCCACTTAAGCCTTTCTTGCTCAGAATCACTCCTTTTATTAGTTATCTGTTGATGCTTAACATATTACCTCCAAAACTTAGTGGATTAAAACAACAAACATTCATTATGCCAACTTCTCTGGGTCAAGAACTATATCAGAATTAGTAAGGCCCTCTAGCTCAAGGACTCTCATAAGGCTGCCATCATTTAAAAGCCTTACTTAGGGAAGATTCACTTCTAAGATTAATCATGTGGCTGGGGGCAGTCCCCAGGTCCTTCCTTGCTGGCTGTGACTGGTGACACTGGCTCCGTGCTATGTGGACTTCTTAATAGGCAGCGCCCAACATAGAAGTCAGCTTCCCTTACAATGAAAGAGAGAGAGAGGATTCCCAAGACAGAAGCCACAGTCTTTGTGCAACCTAATGTTGGAAGTGATATCCATCACTTCTGCCACAGTCGATTTGATAGTGAAGTGGGATAAATTCAACTAGGACAACAGAGTAGAAGATTCCTCAAGGAGTTACCTCTACCAGGGGTACAAGTGACATGGAGCAATTTTAGAGGCTGCTTACCAAACCCATGAAATGTATAATGACAAAACATGATATTCCTCTTAAATGACTAAATAAGCACACCACTCTTTGATCAATCTCCTGTCTGTTCAGTGTGGCAACAATTCCCACTGCAGCTGTTCTCCTGCCTCACTAAGACTTTCAATCCACTGGTGCCTCAGCCTTCGCCTATTGCATTATGATCCTCCTGCGGTCAGTTACTCCCACAAGCAAACTAACAATGGCTCTTCTCAACACTGGCTTTATGTTAGAATTGCCTGAGGAGGTTCCAAAGATACATATGAGTGCCTTGGCCCCAATTGAGATTGGCTGACCCAGTGTCTCTGGGACCTGGCATTCTATTGTGATACTAATATGCAGCAATAGTTGGGAATCAATACTGTAGATTCCATTACTGAATATTTTAAAATGTAATTGCCAGTAACATAAAACCAGAATTGACATACTGCTTCCCTTGGGCTAAATACAATCCATCACCTATTTTTTAAATAAATTCTTATTGGAACGCAGCCACATTTTCTTATTGTCCATGGTTGCTTTTGCAGAACATGGGAGAACTGAGTACTTCCTACAGAGACAATATGGCTCACAAAATAAAAATATTTACTATCTGGCCCTTTGCTTAAAAAAAATTACTGAGTTTTGACCTATCCCCTTTCACATCTTCATTTTTCTCTCTCTCTTTCTCTCTCTCTCTCTCTCTCGGTTGCTTTTGGTTTTGTCCTTTTTAGAAGCACATTGCAACCTCTTCTCTAGATGAACTCAACTATCTGATTTCTGCATATTTCTCAGTCCATGACTGCTGCTGAAGAATGTCATGCAAGAAAACAAACATAATATTTTAAGACAATGATCACCATTGGAAACTGGGTTTTCAATTGTGCCTGACATAACTTTTTCAATCTCTACAATCCTCTAATTTCTGACACTCTCTTCTCCCTTCTCACTTCTCTCTCTCTGCAGATGACTTTGCTACTGCAACACAGAGAAAATATAAGTCTTTATATTCATAGTCTTTCAACTACCTGGCACTAAATCAATATACCTGTCTCCATTTACAACTATTATCTTTCTCCCTGATCCTGTCAAGATGATCTTACTCTTTGTTGTAGGCTACTTTCCTCCTCTGACTTCAGAATTAGTTCTCACCTGACATTAAGAGGAAATTTACATTGTTACCAATTTCTCTACTGAAAATCCAACTTTTTATTTCCACGTAGATGCTTCCCATCGTGGTTTCCATGAACTTTATTGTCTCAATGATTGTCATTTTAGATCTATAACTCTTTTTCTGAGCTTTGGGTCTATATAAGCCAAATTTCTGCTCAACAGAGCAACCATATCCCCACCTTAATTGGACAAGTCTCTCCAGAAAATAAATCTCCTATTTCCTGTTGTGTTAAATGAAGAATAATTACTAAGGTATTCAGTAATGACAAAGAATCTGGGAATTTAACTGTTCTTGATATGGAATTTCAAATTACACACTTGTTTTTTTTGGAAGCCAAACCCACCTCCAGCATTTTATTCCCACACATGATAAGCTTGTCCAAGGTGTGTGTGGTTTGGATGACTTTATATTTTGTTAGCTTTCCTCTTCCCTCTACATATGGACACTATGTTTTGTCAAAAGGAAATGTGTACACTGGATGCTTGTTAAAAATAGCAAGGAAGACTATTCAGGACTATAGCAATGGGGGAATAATATAGCTATAGTAGAGAGAGATTGAACTAAAATTTCTCCCAGCATGGAGCTGGAAATTTATAAGCAAAGAGCTGAGTGAGTGAGTCAGTGGATAGAAACTAATTAGATATTAAGGGTGGCGGGGGGTGGGGTGGTGGGGAGCAGGGTTCTTGCTAAAACTGCATTATTGCTAAAGGCATGCCAAAGTGATAAGATATCAAGGGCGAAGTGATTCTCAGTGAACTGGCTTAGCAGGAGTCTTTGCTAAAACTGGGCCTGAGAAGAGGGACTAGAGAAGAATGATTAAACTTTGGTCAAGATGGGAATCTGTCAGTTTTGGCCTTCTCTAATCTATGTGGTTACGCTGCTCAAGAGCTTGCTAATATGTATTCAAGAAGGCTAGTGTATTAGCTTGTTCTCACACTGCTGCTATAAAGAAACACTTGAGATGGGGTAATTTATAAAGCAAAGAAGTTTAATTGGCTCACAGTTCTGCAGGCTGAACAGGAAGCATAGCAGCATCTGCTTCTGGGGAGGCTAAAGGGAGATTTTACTCAGGGCAGAAGGCAAAGTGGAAGCACGAATCTTGCAAGGCAGAAGCAGGACTGAGACGAAGAGAAAAGGTGCCACACACTTTCACCAACCATATCTCATGAGGATGCTATCATGATACAGCATCAAAGGGGGAAATCTGCCCCCATGATCCAGTCACCTCCCACAAGACCCCACCTCCAACATTGGGGATTACAATTCAGCATGAGATTTGGTAAGGGACACAGATCCAAATCATATCAGCTAGTAATAAAGTGTATTAAGATTTAGGAGTTGATAGGGTTTGGCTGTGTCCCCACTCAAAATCTCATGGTGAATTGTAAACCCCATAATCCCCACATGTCAAGGGAGAGACCAGGTGGAGGTAATTGAATCATGGAGGTGGTTTCTCCCAAGCTGTTCTCATGATAGTGAGTGAGTTCTCTCTCGAGATCTAATGGTTTTACAACTGTTCGGCAAGTTCCTCCTTCCATCCTTCTTTTTCCTGCCATTTTGTGAAGAAAGTGCCTGCCTCCCTTTCACCTTCCACTACAATTGTAAGTTTCCTGAGGCCTCCCCAGTCATAGGGAACTGTGAGTCAATTAAACCTCTTTCTTTTATAAATTACTCAGTCTCAGGTATTTGCATATAGGAATGTGAGAAAGGACTAATACAGGAATCTTCAAGGACATCCCATCCAAATTAAAAGTTGTGTATCACTTGCTTCTTTGACCTCATCTATTGTATTAATTACATTTATATATATATATACACACACACACACATATGCACACATATATATATCAACTTTACTAAATGGTCTCTACATTCTCAGTTTTATTGTTTCATTAGGAAAAGAAATTGGCTGGGATATTGGTAACAGTATATTTCTGCTTATGCTATAATACCCAAGTTGAAACACTTGATAGAAATTGATTGATGCTTGTTACCTGATGTTTTAAAATAAGGGCTAAATAGTTATATATCTCAGTATTATCGTTATCCTGGATGTGACAGGGTACAGATGTGACAATGCACGTTTTTATATTGTGTTCTACTGGTGATTCAAATAACTAAGGTATTGCCATTAGCAACATAATTTTTGTAAATATTGAAAGACTCTTGGAAGTTTCTACAATAAAAAGTCTTTTTCTCTTCAATTTACATAGTGGTTGCATTCTGAAAAATTTAGTTTGTATTAAGCCATTCAAAGTATTTACATGTAAAATATTCATTTCTTGACTAAATAATTACAGATGATCACTTACGTGGCTATCCATTGGGGCATTTGATGGGAATATTTTTTATAATGTAGGATTGCAGGATATCTAGTATTGTTTGTCCTCACATTGGAAATACAATTACTGCCTTCTGATCGTTTTGACAATGGAGACACTCAAGCATTTCTAAACAGAAAAAGCTGGTACAAGCACACTTGAAGCACAATACATCTGAAAGGCACATGAAGAGTTCAATAAAATGTTTAACAACTGAAAAGACTGCAGAAATAAATTTAATTATTCTGTCTATACTAAAATCCAAATATAAATTATATTAGAGTTGCAGCTATTTAATACGCTATTTCAGCATTCACATGCTATTTTCATTTTCTATTCAGATGTTTTTTCCACTGCCAGACACTTTCTAACAAGTCCTTCAAACCCTCTTTATAATAACTTATGAAAATATTTGTTACATTATGCTCAATGATTTCCTCAATTAAAATGATATATAAAATAAGAACAAGTGAGAGGAAAAAAACATAGTTTGTGCATCTGTTTTGTGATAAATATAGTAGTTAGATCTACTTTATATAAATTTTCTCATTAAACCCACATCAAACTTTTTCTCCTGTATTTTTTAAATGGAAAATGTGAGGTTGATAGGAGTTAATTAACTCTACTAATAGCTGACAGTAATGAAACTATCATTACTGAGAACTATAGTTGGTTTTTACAATTATTTCATTTTTTGTTTGTTTGTTTTTGTTTTTGTTTTTTGAGATGGAGTTTCGTTCTTGTTGCCCAAGCTGGAGTGCAATGGCGTGATCTCAGCTCACTGCAACCTCTGCCTCTTGGATTCAAGTGATTCTCCTGCCTCAGCCTCCTGAGTAGCTGGGATTACAGGCACGTGCCACCACGCCCAGCTAATTTTGTATTTTTGGTAGAAATGGGGTTTCTCCATGTTTGTCAGGCTGGTCTCGAACTCCCAACCTCAGGTGATCCACCCACCTCCGCCTCCTAACGTGCTGGGATTACGGGTGTGAACCAGCATGCCCGGCCAATCTGTATCTTTTAAGTGTGAAATGCTTTCAGAAAAATATTTCAACCAAAAGGGAGAAATGTGGAAGTTGTGAGCACCAAAATGGAGTCACTTACATCAAACCATAAAAAAATGAAGCTGGGAGGCCATGAAAGAGCGGCCTTCATGTACATATGTCTATAATAAGAACTGCTGCAATGGTTCTCTCAAAAACCACAAAAATGTTAGATATGATAATTCTATGAAGACATCTCTCCAGCAACAGCCAATATTATCAACGAGTATTTGCCAACTCTTGTAATAAGCTTCTCTGGCCCATGAGGTTTATTACAAAACTTACATAAAATTTCTCTTTTAAGATTTTTGCCTTCCTGATATGGTTTAGATTTGTGTCCCCACCCAAATCTCATGTCGAATTGTAATCCCCAATGTTGGAGGAGGGGCTTGGTGAGAGGCGATTGGATCATGGGGGTGGATTTCCTCCTTGCTGTTCTTGTGATAGTGAGTTCTCATGAGACCTGGTTGTTGAAAAGTGTGTGGTATCTCCCCTTTGCCCTCTTCCCCCTGCTTCGGCCATGTAAGACATGCCTCCTTCCTTTTTGCCTTCTGCCATCATTGTAAGTTTCCGGAGGCCTTCTCCAATCATGTTTCCTGTACAGCCTATGAAATCATGAGTCAATTAAACCTCTTTTCTTTATAAATTACCAAGTCTCAGGTAGTTCTTTGTGCTAGAACAAACTAATACAGTCCCTCAGCTTCTTTGGTGCCTAAGGTCCACCATAGCATGTGTATTTCAAATTGCAATTTACTGCTATTTCCTGAATACACTCTTTATTTTAGAGAGTCAGTATCTCTGTTGTTTAAGTTGACATAATCTAATGTCAGAAGCAAGATGCAAAGGCTCCAAGCCTTCTTTGGACTGGTGATACTTGAAATTGTGTATGATACTCACCTGAGCCCATTGTGATCTTCACTTGTACAAGTTGTCTTTATGCTGCGAGATAAGTCCTCTCTTGGTTTGAGCTCCCACCTTTTCAGTGAACTCTTACATTTTGGGGGATCTGCTCTTGTAAAGGACATCCTTTCTGGTGAGTATTCTTTTGGTTTAATTTTTGGTTTGGTTATTTGTGCATGAATTTAATCTCATTAGGAAACAAGTTAAGTTGAATAGACCAACTAGTGAACTAAATCAGTCTCCAAAATATATGTTTTTGGCATTTATCTGTTTATTTTGAAACTCTTTGTAAGAAATGTAAACCTGTAATGATAATCTCTGCTTTGTAAGGATATCTCCCTCTCTGACACCTAAAACACTAGATGCTTTCACAAAGCAAAAGGAAGAGACCTAAATCTATCTATCTGTGTAAACCCACCCTTGACCATTTCATTTCGAATGCTTCCTATATATGCTTTTTTTCATCTCAACAAATAGTGGTGTTTAAGTTCTGTACCTTTGAGATTCAAATTTTCTACATTCCTTCACCTAAAAATCATCTCTTTGGAAGTACAAATTTTGGGTGGCCTAACTTAACACTTATCTATGGGCCAATTGAACAGATCATTAAAAGACAGATAGTCTGAAAGAGGGAGTAAAACTATTTGCAAGCCAGGCAAATAACAATTCTTAATGCAAGTTGTAAGTTCTTCCTCTGTCTGTATTTTTCTACGTGTGTGTGTCTGTGTGTGTATGTATAATTTTTTTCTACCAAAATTCATAAACCGCTCTACTTAATTGGCTTACAGAGAAAACATAAGTGTTTAAACTAAGAATTCTCTCAGAAAAACAGAAACTCAATTGCCTTTTGGCTTATGTGATGAAATAATCTTTGGCAGATAAAGCTAGTTTTAAAATTTGTTGGGAAAATAAAAACAAATATTTTCAGAATTGTCAGCATTAATTACAATGTACAGATACAGTTTTTAAACCTAAAGTTACTGGTGAAACAAGCTTGCTATTACTGAGATGTATAATGAATGTCTTAAAGCTATAAATCCACTCATAGTTGTGTTTAAGGAGGAACTGAAGCACAATTGTTAAGAACAAGTGAATTAGGTGAATATAAATTGACAAAAGGTTTATAATAAAGTTGTCAGAATTTCAAAAATAATTTAGTGTGACTTGAAATCTTAAAATCATGTTATTTAAATTAAGTAACACTTTACTGATTTAATATTTGAGTCATTTCTAAGGAAAATACTGAAATATCAATTGCTTAACAGAAGTTTAAAATATACGTAATTTGGCATCTTGGTTTCACATGTTATGGAAAAGCTAAACATATTTGGGCCTGTTAATTAAAGGCATAAAAATTATTTTATGAGATGGTGTTCATCTGCAAAATACTAACATGATGCACTTCAAAATGCTTACTAATTTTCACTAGAAATTAAGGTTACTAAGAGTTAATTAAAATTAATATTAGAGTAATTTAAACTAGAAATAATGAAGGGAAACAAATCTGTATGTGAGGGAAGGAAAACACATAAAGAAAGTTATAAGTAAGAGGTTGTGTTTTTGTTAAGGGAAAAAGAGAGTATTTTTTGTCTAAAAGTAGAATGTCTTATTGTTCCAAAAAGAAAAAGAGAAAAAATATAGACAAAAACTGAATAAGATAACTGGATGACAAATTTATAGAAAGTTTGTGGAAGATTAATCTTGTGAAAAGAATTTTATGTGTGACCAAGTTGGCTAAAGTTAAAAGGAAATTATTTATAAATATTTCTGAAAACTTGAGCATTATTATCAAAAGTACAGGAATGGAAAACTTGAAATTTGTCCCCTGTGCTAAAACAACAAGGTTTTCTTTGAGTATTGACCTGCTTTTAATAGAAAATAGTGAAATGTTTTCTCTACCTTTTAGATAACTGGCCTAATAAACCACGATTTTTTGTTTATCAAGGTAATTTCTTATGCTTTATGCTCTCTTTTATTAGGTCTTTGATTACTTGAGAAAAGTGAGTGAGGTGGGGCCAAGATGGTTGACTAGAAGCAGCTAGTGTATGCCACTCTCACAAATAGCAGAAAGAGTGGTGAGGTGAGTAGACACTAGCTCTTCAACCGGAACATCCAGGTGGACACATAAGGATTCATCAGTGACATAGTGTGACCTTCGGATCACGGAGAAGAGTGAGACAGATCAACCATTCACCCAGGAGTGGCACAGACCCAGGGGAATCCCCCTACAAGAAAATGGTCAGTGAGTGAGAGTCCTGTGGGATGCATATTCTGCCACGAACCTTTGAATCCCTGGGCTCAGGAGATACCCCAACTGGGGTCTCCAGACCAAAACAGAGAGCCATGTGGAGTCTGGGTAGAGCTGCTTCTTAGGTAGGTGTGGAGTCCCAGTAGCATTTGTTCCCTGGGTACCCCAAAACCAGGGGCTGCAGCTCCAGCAATTGGGAAGGCCAAGTTTTCTTGCATGCTCCCCAGAAAAGGGGCCAAGTCCATGGGGCTGAGCAGTGATAGACTGCAGACCTCACCACCACTGAACCTTGTAGGATAAGTCCCACTAGCCTGGGATGCTAGTGAGGCCACCCTAGTCCTCCTGAGTTCTCCAGCTGGGAGCAGCTCTACACTTCTCTGGCATGAAGCTCCCAAAGAGAGAGGCAGTCCACCTTTTTGCTGTCTCGCAACCCTCCCTCCTGCTGCTCTCAGGCTTGGGAGGGTGCACAGCAATTAGGGACTATCACAGAACCCCAGCACAGTGCATTTGGTGAACTTAAAAAAATCAACAAGTGAAAAACAAACAATCCCATTTAAACGTACACAAAGTACATGAATGGACACTTTCAAAGGAGGGCATATATGTGGCCAGAAAGCATATGACAAAATGCTCAACATCACTAATCATTAGAGAAATGCAAATCAAAATCACAATGAGATACCATCTCACACCAATGAGAATGGCTATTATTAAAAACTCAAAAAATAAGAGATGCTAGTGAGGTTGTGGAGAAAAGGGAATGATTATACAGTGATGGTGGGAATGTAAGGTAGTTCAGCCATTGTGGAAAGCAGTGTGGCAATTTCTCAAAGAACTCAAAGCAGAAGTGCCATTCAACTCATCAATCCTACTATTGAGTATATACCAAAAGAAATACAAATCATTCTACCATAAAGACACATGCACGTGTATGTTCATTGCAGCACTTTTCACAATAGCAAAGACATGGAATCAACCTAAATGCCCATCAGTGGTAGACTGGATGAAGAAAATGTGGTAGATATACAACATGGAATACTATGCAGCCATAAAAAGAATGAGATCATCTCTTTTCCAGCAACATGAGTGGAGCTGGAGGCCATTATCCTAGAAAACCCAATACCATATGTTCTCACTTATAAGGGGAGCTAAACATTGAGTACATATGGACACAAATGGAACAACAGACACTAGGGCCTACTTTAGAGTGGAGGGAGGAAGGAGGATGAAAATTTAAAAATTACCTACTGGGTACTATGCTTATTATCTGGGTTATGAAATAATCTATACACCGAACCCCGTGACACACAATTTATCTATATAAATGCGTCAGTAACCCACATGTGTACCCCTGAACCTAAAATAAAAGTTAAAAAAAGAGAAAAGTAAGTGTTCTCAGTATTAAAAAGCTATGTTTTTGTTGACAATTATGTAAATTTCTACATTTATTTTTTGAAATCTTTTAATTTTCATTTTGGTTACCTGTTATTGTACTCTGATAAAGTGTTTTAAACTGTTTGATGTTTTTGACAAACTTCCCAAAATAATATTTTAAATTAACTCTTTTTGCCCTCAAGTTAATTTTGATATTTCTCATTTGGACCCCTGGAAAGATCAAAGAATGTGTATCTCACATTGTAAAGAGATATATTAAACTAATAAGACTTACTTGATATATTAAATTATATAGGGAGTATTGTCAAAAACTAAGTGGTACTAAACCTTCTTTAAGTTGTATTTCAGAATGTTATTGATATGTGTTACAAAATTATATTAAATTCTTCAAAATCTGATATGTTATCGGTCATAATCTTGGTTATTATTTTCAAGTTTTGTATGCCACAGAAATAAACAAATTTCTTTGTCAATTACATTATTATTATAATAAACTCCATGAGATTTTTAACCATGGCCACTCTAAGTCTGTCATCCACAGGGACCGATTGCTTTCATTCTTTTCTAAAAGCATTTGCAATCAGCTACAATAAAAAATTGCTTCTTCTCTGAAACTGATGATCCATCAAGGTTTAACCCATATACTCCTCTATATACCTCTACAGCCTCCCCAAATCAAGTTGATATATTCCCCTAGCAGTCTGTGCAATGGAGACCAACATTAAATTCTTTTAGATTGTTTTAAATTACATTTTTGAACTTCCAGTTTATTACATACCAAGAGTTGATTACAACCTCCTTGTTTCATAAGTGGAAGCTATGTTAGGGTTGGATGTGGGTGCCATAATTTCTTCAAGGATCCTGGACAGAGACCCACATCAGGATCAGAAACCCTATGATAGCATTGCAGATCTCATGGCTCAATAATCCTTGAAGATTATAATTTTCATCCTACTATCAGTTGGACTTTCTGTCACTTTTCCTGCATTAAGTCTCCTGGTATCAAACAGAGCTCTGTGGTGTCACTGACTGAGGAATGGAATAGAGATGTCCACAAGGGGTCTTGATATCATTACTGCCCAGAGATGTGAAAGGAGAGACCACTTCCTCACCACCCAGCTACTTCACTTCTCTCCCGATATCAGCCCTATAGTTGGACCTAGGCTTTCAGAAGTGTAAGTGTGCAAACAAGTTTGGGTTGGACTTTAAGAGGACACTTTGTCATAGAAGAAAATCCAGTATCTCTAAGCTGGTTTTCTTTTCAGGAAAACATCCTGAGAGACCAGTAAGCAGGGAGATCCTTTTTCTAGTTTGCCTGTAGAGTTAGGAAGACAGTTGATTTTTCAGTCTTTTACAGGATGCTTAAACAAAGCTGTGTAATTACATAAGGTGAATCTTTATCTTGCCTAAGAAGATAAAGTGGGAATCTTCACTCCGCCAGGGCAAATTTCCAAGGAGCTCATTTATTCCATGTCTTTCAAACTTTCATGTGATACATTTCTCTTTCACATTGTTGCTGATTTCCAAATAGCTGTCAGCTAGTTTTTTCCTCCCCCTTTCCTATTCTTCACTATTTTGATAGCAAAGCTCATAGAATTAGAGGACTTAGAAGATGCTTTGTAAACATTGCCACAAAGGAACTGCTGAAATGATTCACAGGAAGACTGGTCAGTTGGGAGAAAGATCCTAAAGATGTTACACTGGTTTTCAACAACATGCTTAGAGAATTCTTGAAGCAGATAGGTGTCAACCCAGTGAAAACAACATTTTGATTTATTTTTTTTTAAAGTTTATGGTGATTGTGTAGGTTTCTAAAATAAGCAAATATTCAAGTCAAGAGATGTTTTGTTTTTTCTTCTGCCAAGAATGGGGTTAGGGGAGCAAAGACACAATTTGGGAAAGGATATATGTGCTATTATAGGGATCACCTTTAAGTTTCTGGGAAGGAATGGGCACGGGTGAGTAGGTTGGCTCAACATTGTCCTGCACTGCTCATTAGGACCTGAGACATGCAAGGGAAATGTGGGTGACATCAGGGCACCCAGGGCACAGCCCCACTAACTGCTGTGCTGAGTTTCTGTAGCCTGCCATGTTTCCCTTGGTGAAGTAAATGAAGATCAAGGAGTCATTTTATGATGTCCTGGTGCTGAGAATAATAAATGTCTTGTTACAAACAGGTGTAACAATAGTTTTTTTCTGGATTATTATCAGGGTGGTCAGCTCTGGATTAAGCCACCCACATCCAATTTGTACAATAATATTGATACATAGGGCTACACTTATTACTGCTCAAGCATTCTATTTTAATAATTGTGTTTTACTTCTAAAGGTTAAATAAAAGCAAAAAAATGGTGCTAAACTATCAAACTGTTCCCCTATTTGTTTTCTCCAGCGTATAACATATATACGTATATATTTTATTTTATTGAAGATGCAGTAGGATACCTGCCATTTAAGAAAATAAATAGAAAATTTAAAATCCCAACAAATGAGAAAAAGAAATTCAGTACCCAAGAATAGGGCTAGTCCAGCACCACCCCGAAGTAGGCTGTGGTTTATGGAGTGAAGAGCCTTGCTCCCTTTACATTCGCTCATGCTCCCATACAAGGCTAGCAGTAGAAATGCTTGAATTCTGCTTGGCTTGCCAAGGGGACTCAGGAGTCAACCAAGGGAACTATTTGGCTCCACGAGGAATGGACACCTCAGGATGCTTCCTGAACAGGGCCTAGTCAGGAAGTAGCCTGGATGTGTATAGTCATGTTCACCTCATGAAAATGTGTGGCAGGTGGCTCTCAGGAAAAACACCAAGTCTGGATCATCTGTGTGGCAGCTTTGCCTGGGGAGGTAACAGCTCCAAATTGAAACTGAACTGCATCCTACATGCTTTACCAAAGCAGTGATGAGAGTGATCAGTGCATGTGGTGTGAGTGGTAGGTTTAAAAAAAAGGGAACGTTTTACGCTCAGTGTTTCCTTTGCCTTTGGGCTACTCAATCTGGACAATAGGTAACCATTCTTTTCAATGAATCAACCCAACTTTGCTGGCTTGGTTTGTGGTTTGTTTCATCCCTAGCTATGAGCATGTTTTGGTCTACAAACTTGGCTTGTCTCATAATACATTCCCTTTCTGTAATTTTTTAAATTTTTTATTTCCATAGGTTTTTGGAGAACATGAGGTATTTGGTTACATGAGTAAGTTCTTTAGCGGTGATTTGTGAGATTTTGGTGCACACATCACCCGAGCACTATACACTGAACTCAATTTGTAGTCTTTTACCCCTCATGCCTTTCCCACTCTTTCCCTTGAGTCCCCAAAGTCCACTGTATCATTCTTATGCCTTTGCATCTTCATAGCTTAGCTCCCACTTAAGAGTGAGAACATACAATGTTTGGTTTTCCATTCCTGAGATACTTCACTTAGAATAATAGTCTCCAATCCCATCCAGGTTATTATGAATGCCATTAATTCATTCCTTTTTATGGCTGAGTAGTATTCCATCACATATATGTATTTATGCATATATATATATACATACATATCGCATACACACACATACACACATAAATATATACCACAGTTTATTCACTCATTGATTCACGGGCATTTAGGCTGGTTCCACATTTTTGCAATTGCTAATTGTGCTGTTATAAACGTGCATGTGCAAGTATCTTTTTTGTGTAATGACTTCTTTTCCTCTGGGTAGATAACCAGTAAGATTGCTGGATCGAATGGTAGTTCTACTTTTATGAATTGTCCTTGTTTTTCTTTAAAAGTTAATACTTTTGATCACTATAGTTTGTTAGTGTTGGATTGTTTCCACTTTGAAATTTCTAAACTTTTTCCCTTCATAATGTTAAAACAAGTTATGTTAGATGCCCTTTCAACATGAAAGGTTTGTAGTTAAGATATTACATATATTTTATTGTTTATAATAAAAATCTAGACAAAAGAAGTGCCCAGTGTTAATTATAATATTTTACACAGTATCTTTTTTCCCATGATGTGTTAATATCTACAATTTCATTAAATGTTGATGTTATTTTCTATTGAGATTCAGAAGCCTAGGGAGCTATGTGTTCATTTTGGTTATTTTTGTTGTTATTTCCCTGAAGCAAAAGACTACATGGCCTTCAGTGCAACAACCTCAGTCCAATTCTGAAGTTTATTATACTTGCTTGTCTCTTGGCTATTTAACTTCTGAGTGCAAATCATTGAACTCCCTAATGAAGTATTGTAGAGAATAAATTAAAATGAATAAAGAAAAATACTTCCTCTTCAAGGAGGATCATGAAAAGGATTCTAACAAGTATGCTGGAATTTAGATTTCTTATGAGTTTACGATTATACCACTGGACTGGGAAAGAATTTCCAGAACTCTAATGAAGAAACGATGGCTTCTTAAAACATCTAACCCAGATCAAGTAGAATAAGTTTAATGAATGGGACTAAACAAACTGATGGCAATATTTTCAAGTGACTTTCTGTTTAACATTTTGCTGTTTTTTAAAATTTTTTGTTTTCCAGATTTGAGAAAACTTTTAAAAAGCTATCGATAGTATATAGCAATTTGGTAAAGTACACTTTTATAAATAAAAATGGAAATATTTATTTTTTCTTCCTACCTGAGCCTGCAGTCTTCAGAGAGCTCTTATTGATATTTTTATTTTATGGCAACATAGTTATTTGCATAAATTCAATAAAAATCTATTCTCTTTGTAACAGGATAGAATTAGAAACATTGGTTATATTATAAATGGCTTGACTTGAATGTGATATTTGAGACTATGCATAGGATGCCTAGCTTCAAGGATTCCCAAGCTCACAGTGAGTGAATAAACATTTTTACCTCTTGACAGGCCAGGAACCTTCAGATATATTGGAGACCTCAAGAAGAGAGAAATTCATGCAAATTTTTAGATACTGCAGCCAAAGTCTGATGTTCACCCTCCTTTGACTTCTGACCCTTGAAAGGCTTTTAAAAGTCGAATCTGAGATTTCTTATCAAAAGTTCCATCAAAATAAACTTAAAAACAGCCCATGTTTCATCCCTTTTCTTGCTACACTGTTGTCAATAATCATGCCAAGTTTAATGAGACTAAACTTATTCAGCAGACAAATTAGTCTTACTCTGATTATCTTTAGTAGAAATAGGGACGATTGTACAGAGAAAAATTATGTTTCTGAAGAAAAACTGCAGTACACCTGTTATTAGATTGTAGTTTTCTTTGTTGTTTTCAAGTTTTTGTCATCTAACTCTAAATTAGACAGGGCACTTAATTATTCTAATTTCCTCCAACATCTGGCTACGATTCTCCAACTAAGAACATAAACTGCCTTGTTCCTAAAGTCCTATAAGTTGGAGCCAGAAAACTCCATGTAAATTTCAAGAGAGAAATCTCATGGCTATTGTGTGGGCTACAAAGAGAATTGACTAAAATGCCCCATGCTATACCCAGGAACATTCAAACTACAAACCAGAGTAAGAAGTTGATGACATCACAGTGTGGAAAGCTTTTCCCAAGACACTGTAACAAAACTGGACTCTTATCCTTCTTATTTTTTTTTCTTGCTTATGCCTACATTTTTCACTTGGCAGAATAACGCTGTGGTTAGAATTTCACATTCAGTAGCTTCCGTAACTGAATGAAGTTTTGGATCTGTTGTGTCAAACCCACATCTTTACATGACCTAAGGGATCCTTTAGTCCACCCAGTGGGTAACTATGGCAACATCCCTAATGACTTATTTGCCACCTTGGGTTTCACTGCAGGCTTCACTGCAAAGGCTATTGCCGCCCAGCAGTGCTCATTAAAGTATCTTGCTGAGTAGCCGTAGATAACACAACAGAACAGGATGAGATAACTCTCAATTATCTACTGGTTGAACAAGAATGTCTGTGCCATTGCTAATAACTACATGCTGTACCTGAATATATTTCTCTGGGGAAGTCAAGACCTAATTGCATAAAATAGCAAGACAGGCTTTATGGCTACAACAGATCTCACTCAGTCTCACATAGACTTTTGATTCATTAGTTGGCTGCCTTTGGGTCCATGTTCATAGACAATATTTCATGTTACTATTAATTTTGTACCGCATCATTCTTTTTAAACTTTTTATCTGTTTCCTGTCCAACCTCTGCAGAAATGATGCATCTAACAGAATAACACTGGTCCAGAACTTCCAAATGGTAGTCAATGCCTATGGAACTGACAAAATTGAACTTAGCAATGAACTCCAGGCACATTTATCCTGAGAGCCACTCCTTCTGAACCTCTTTGTTTCTTAAATGTGACTAAAAGGGTTTTGACATCTGCTCTTAGTTGCTGGCCATTCATCTCTGATGCAGGATCAGACTAACTAGGAAAGGTCCACTCCAGCACCAAGAAACAATCAAAACCTAACTATAGGCTGATTAATCTGCAATGCTTTCAGAAAAAAGTCTTGGTCAAAAGGGGGAAATGTTAAAGTTACCAGCAAAGAAGTTGACTCACTTAAGTCAAACCACAACAAAATGGAGCTCGGAGAGTATAAAAGAAGGCCCTTCATGCATGGATGTCTCTAAAAGAATTATTGCAAGGACTCTCTGAAAACCACAAAAATTTTAGATACGACGCTTCTATGAAGACATCTTCCCAGCAACAGCCAGTATCACCAATGAGTATTTGTCCACACCAAGCAGTAAGCTTCTGGGGCCAAAGAGGTTTATTTTAAAATAATTTACATGAACTTCACCTTTTTTTTTTCTTTATTTCTTCTTCTTCTTCAAAAAACAAACAAAAGGAATATATGTGCAGAACGTGCAGGTTTGTTACATAGGTATACGTATGCCATGGTGGTTTGCTACACTTTTCAACCTATCATCTAAGTTCCCTCCCCTCACCCCCCAACCTCCAACAGGCCCCAGTGTGTGTTGTTTCCTTCTCTGTGTCCATTTGTTCTCAATGTTCGAATCCCACTTACGAATAAGAACATGCGGTATTTGGTTTTCTGTTCCTGTGTTAGTTTGCTGAGGATGATGGCTACCAGTTTCATCCATGTTTCTGCAAAGGACATGCTCTCATTCCTTTTTATAGCTGCATAGTATTCCATGGTGTATATGTACCACATTTTCTTTATCCAGTCTATCAGTGATGGGCATTTGGGTTGGGTCCATGTCTTTGCTATTGTAAATAGTGCTGCAATAAATATATATATATGTATGTTGCCTTACAGTAGAATGACTTATATTCCTTTGGGTATATACCTAGTAATGGGATTGCTGGGTCAAATGGTATTTCTAGTTCTAGATCCTTGAGGAATGCCCATACTGTCTTCCACAATGGTTGAATTAATTCACTTTCCCACCAACAGTGTAAGAGCGTTCCCATTTCTCCACATCCTCTCCAGTATTTATTGTTTCCTGACTTTTTAATAATCTCCATTCTAATTGGCGTGAAATGGCATCTCATTGTGGTTTTGATTTGCATTTCTCTGGTGATCAGTGATGTTGAGCTTCTTTTGTATGTTTTTTGGCCACGTAAATGTCTTTTTTTGAGATGTGTCTGTTCATATCCTTTGCCCACTTTTTGATAGCGTTGTTTGTCTTTTTCTTGTAAGCATGTTTAAGTCCCTTGTAAATTCTAGATATTAGATCATTGTCAGATGGGTAGATTGCAAAAATTTTCTCCCAGTCTGTAGGCTGCTTGTTCACTTTGATGATAGTTTTTTTTTTTTTTTTTTTTTTTTTGCTGTGCAGAAGCTCTTTAGTTTAATTAGATCCCATTGTCAATTTTGGCTTTTGTTGCAATTGCTTTTGGCACTTTTGTCATGAAGTCTTTGCCCACCATGCCTATGTCCTGAATGTTGTTGCCTAGGTTTTCTTCTAGGGTTTTTATGGTTTGGGGTTTTACATTTAAGTCTTTAATCCATCTTGAGTTAATTTTTGTATAAGGTGTAAGGAAGGGGTCCAGTTTCAGTTTCCTGTATATGGCTAGCCAGATTTCCCACATTATTACTGAATATGAGATCCTTTCCCATTGCTTGTTTTTGTCATGTTTGTTGAAGATCAGGTGGTTGTAGACGTTTGGTGTATTTCTGAGGTCTATGTTCACCTTCATTGGTCTATATGTCTGTTTTGGTACCAGTTCCATGCTGTTTTGGTTACTGAGGCCCTGTAGTAATGAAGTCAGGTAGTGTGATGCCTCCAGTTTTGTTCTTTATGCTTAGGATTGTCTTGGCTATATGGGGTCTTCTTTGATTCCATATGAAATTTAAAATTGGTTTTTCTAATTCTGTGAAGAATGCCAATGGTAGTTTGATGGGGAACTTCACCTTTTACCCTTAAAAAAGCTTTGGATCCCCCAGCTTTTTCAAATGTGCCTATGGTTCACTACGGTACACATATCCCAAATTGCAGTTCATTGCTCTTCCCAGATAAACTATTTTGAAAAGTCAGTCTCTCTGCTGTTTATTTTAATAATTTTTAATAGAAGTACATCTTTCTTAAAAGCATAGCAAAAATTTTAAGTACATTCACAATAATAATAATTAGGAAACAAATGATCATTGCTTCGATTTTAAGAATTATGAATTTCTTTAATTTTTCAAGTTGAAATATAGAACATGTTTTATTTAGTTACCAATTTATTTCTGTATTTTTCATGAAACAATTTACTTTGGTAAGAAATTTCAAGGAATCTGTGGCATAAATATATATTTGGTCAATGTTCCTTGACCCAAAGTATTAAGGCTGGGTTGTATTTAATTCAGTGACTAAGTAATTTAGTCAGGTTATTCAATAAATTAATGAGGTAATTATCTATAAATTGTTATAATCTGTAAATCTATAAATCATATGTAAAATTTTATTATAAAAAGCAAATGAGTCTTTCTAACAATAGCTAGTTCCAACAATAAAATAACTTCACTTTTAGTTAGCAAGCCCGTATTACATTTCTAAATATTGAAGTCTGTGCAGTAGTTAATGATCTTTTAGTCAATTATTGAGAAAAAAACTTTTAGTACAGTAGAAGATATAAAAAACATGATTGAGCTCAATTTCTCTTTTTAAAAAAATCACTGATTTCTTGGTCAAACTTTTGCTTCTTTTGGAACTTTTGAACTTTGTGGCCATGTGAAATGGCACTCTGAAACTTCTAGTAGACTCAAATTGAGGTAACTTTCTTGCTCACAACAATTTTATGTCCAGTTTCTACTATAAGCCATTATTTCTAACACATGCCATGGTTCCATGTTTGAACTAATGTTAATACCACCTGCCCCTACATGACTGAGTCTGAGCACATCCCTGGGCCACATCAAGCACCATGGCAGATTAATCATTCCTTACGGTTTTAACAGGCAAGCTGGGGAAAAAAAATAACTGTCTCCTCCAGCTTTGGTTATGAGTGAGTTTCTTACCTTTTAATGGTGAAAAATAAACTTATCTGTCATAGGAGAAAATAACATTACACTCATATGGAAGCAGAGGTGAGAAGTGAAGCCTTAGTCACTATGGAGTCCTGTCCCAGGTTCCACTTGCCAGGACCCTTGAGCTGTTCTGCTTCCTAGAGAGCATCCTTTGAATCTTGATATCTCCAGTATCTTCCAGTTACTACTCATTTAGCCTAAAGGTCTTTTAGTTAGAAGTGTTGGCAATTGAAAGAGCTCTGACTAAAAATGCTACTCTATCAAACCAGTTAATTTCATTTAAATTTTAATTTAGTTGGCATAATTAGGTAGCAGACCTAGTGACTTCAAAAATGTAGAGAATCAGCACCAGATTACAACATGACCAAAAAAGCATCATCCTACAGTTACTTATGAGTTACAAAAGAAAATTAGAAGTGCAAAAACTTGAATCACAAATGTAATTTAGTTTCAGAAATAATAGGACAACTTGGCATGTACCTTCTGATGTGTGATAAATAATACACCACTTGAAAAGTATTCCATAAAAATGTTTAACCTAAGGGTGGTTATACCTCTAAACCTAACATCCAGTGTGCAAGAAATGCAGGAACACATGGCAAGTTACTCCACACCAGCAGGAAATTATCAAACAAATACAGGATGTAGAACATTCTGCGCAATAATAACTGACCTGAACTTCAAAAAGTCCATCTTAGTTTAAAAAGTGGTGAGATTGTTACAGATAAAAAGACAAAATGATATGATGACTTACCAAACAAATGTAAAATATGAAATTGATGAGGTACTATTTTTTAGAAGTATATAAGGGAGAATTGTGAAGAACTAGGAAAAGTTGGATGTAGACAAGATATTAGATAATATTATGGAATTAGTATAAAATTTTCATAGTTGTTAAAATGATTATTGTCAGTGTTTTCACAGTTTGGGATACTGAAAAGACTCATAAGACTCTGTAGAGCATATGCACACGAGGCTTTTACTACAGCAGCAGAGGATGATGGAGTAAAAGCAAGCAAGGGAAGGCAAGCACCATAGACTCTGGCAAATATTTCAGGTGCTTCTATCCACGGTTGTAAGGGTGCGTGTGTGTGTGTGTGTGTCGTGTGTTGTGTGTGTGTGTTGTATTGTGAGTGTTGTGTGTTGTGTATGTGTGTTTGCACAGGACATACTTCATCTCTGAAATACAATTCATCAAGATTTTGTGAGGAATTTTGACTTAGAAGCAAGGTCTCCCAAATTTCCAGGTGAACCTTTTGTCAGGCTGCATGCCTGGTTATACCAGGTGTAAGCCATCAATACGTAAACTAGCCACAGGAGTTTCAAACTTTAAACAGACTGTATTTAATCTTGCCCTCATTTTGGCCAGGAATCAGTACCAGACTTTCAGATGTTCTGGGAGATAACTATAGAGCTGTCTCAGTCCAGCAGTAAAAAATAAATCTTACCCATCGGCACTGTGGGAGAATGCCCTAATTTATTGGAATTTCATGCTGAAATGTTTTGGGCCAAAATATTCAGATCTCCATGGTTCTACCTATCTAAAGAGATATTTAGTGAAATTAATAATATATGGTAATATGTTAGCAATTACTAAATATAGGTGGATATTATATTAATCTTGTGTGAAATATTCTTTTAAATTTTCATTATGTCTGAAAAATCTTCACAATAAAAATAAGGAAAATCAATAAAGATTCCTGCTAAGTTGTTCTGTGATCTTAGTACAGGACATTATTTTAAAATTCTTCGAAATAAAATATTTTGGTATTTAATGGATTACATATTTATATGAGATCTTAGCAACCTCACATATTACAAATTCTCTTTTCTAGATACAATAATGCTGCAGTGTACATACACACATATTATATATATAATATACAATGTCTAAATTTTTGTACAATGTGAATATATAATATATGAATGTAATATTCATATGTAATATTAATATGTATATTATATAGTCATATTCTAAAGTTCAGGTATTAAATTGAGTCAAATCTGTTTACCATTCCTCCCTCTCTCCCTCATTCCCTCCCTCCCTTTTTTCTTTCCTTCCTTCTTTCCTTTCTTCCTTCCTTCCTTCTCCCCTTCCTTCTTTCCTCCTTGCTTCCTTCCTTCCCTCTTTGCTTCCTTCTTTCCTTCCTTCTTTTGTTAATTTAGTCATATTGCAGACAGGGCCTCAGAAAATAAGTAGTGAAGATCCACGTAGAATAGGGAAGACTTCTGTGAGGGAGTGCCATTTAAACAGAACCTTGAATTATAAGAAGAGGTTACTAAAGAGAAGATGGAGAAAAGACTTTGAAAGCATATGCACCATTCCTGAAACAGTGTAAGCCAGGAACATTTTGAGGAATTAAGAGCAGTTTTGCTTGCCATAATGAGCTAGTGATTTGAGAAAATCAGATGATAGTAACAAAATCAGATGATATGTATTTTTTAAAACAAATTTAAAAATAAAGAGCATAATGTTTTCACATACATGTTAAGAGATAAAAATAGACAAATTATACATGGCCTTATAGGTTGAGATAAAGACTTTGATTGTATTCTGTGTGACATGGAGATCCATTGAATAATTTTAAAAGAAGAAGAAATATGGCCAAATTTCCACCACAGTAGAATCTGCTGGGAAAAAATAAAAGTGAATAAGGGATGCAGGAAGTGGAAGCAGTGAGAATATTTTTGGAGATTGATTTTCCTCAGATATCAGTTACTATCCCCAAGTTTTCTCATTCCAGTAGTGATGTCATCGTTGCCAATTACTGAAGCCAGGAAGTTAGGAATCATCAGTCTTTTTCTTTTGAATTAATGTGACAGTAGTAGAGAGAGAGAAAAAAGTAGGCATGATGTATGTTATTTAGAGGATAAGATCTACAGATTTGAAATTGATTTGGCATAAACCCACAGGAAAGTGAAGAATCAAGCATGTATTCTAAGCTTCTGGCTTGAGCAAGTGAGCAATCAGCAACATCAGCCCTGTGACTTACTAGAGTTTTACTGAGGTATACTTTGTAATGTAATAGCTGTGAGAAACTGAATATCATTGAAATTTAGAAAAGGTTATGACAATGTCATTGGGTTAATAGATAGCCTTTTCTTACAAAGATTTGTAAAAATGAGAGGCCCTAGAAATTTGCTGTGTATATTATGCATACAAATATCACCTCCAGTGAATTCGTTTGGAAAAGAAACTCAAAGCAAGGCCAGACAAAGAAAACAAAAATAAAAGAAAAGAAAGGGAAAGGACAGGGAAGAAAAGGCAAGAAAAAACAAGACAGACAAAACATTGGAAAAATATGACAGAGAGAGTAAGAATTGTATATATCATAATTTTAAAATATTTTAAATTTATAAAATTATTTTTTGACTTTTTTTAATTCAAGAAGACCCTGGATATAAGTCCATCAGTATATAAATAATTGCTAAGAACTGGGACTAAATTTTAAATAAACTACACTGTTGAAAAAGCCAATATTTTCAAGAAAATTGACCAAAAGGTATCCTTGTCTTCATTTCCACTGACATCTTATGACTGCCATATTTTTTCAGCTATGGCTCTTTTTCTACCAATGGCACGTCACAAAAATGTGTGAACCTCTGGTCACTATAATTATTCACACCAATATTGCATAATTTTACCTCAGAATGTTTTTTCCAACTACATTCTTTTTCCAGGGGCATTTATATTCAATGTTTTTTCCAGGGGCATTTACATTCTGAATACTGTGCCTCAAAGTCAAACTGGTTAGCATTACAATCTTGTCTCGTATTACATATGCATTTATTAATGTACAAATTGACCTCATAAATAGAATATATTTGTCAGGAGTTTCAGGTCTTGTGTTCCCAACACCTAACAATAGATACTTGTTGAATAAATTATGAAAGGGAAAAATATTTTTTAAGAAATTTTGAAAACTTAAAAAGGAAACAAAGGTGTCACAATGGAAACAAAATTTCACTTTTTTTTTCTCTGAGTTTAGAGTAAATCTCAGATTCAAACACATCTAAGGATGTACAATTATCAATTATGTAATTCCAAGGGAAAGTAATTTGTACTTACAGGTTAGATATGATAATTAATTCACTTAATTCTACTCGTTTGCTTTAAAAAAAAAAGGCTGTCAGAAATAATACATCACAGTAAAACCTCCTATCCAACAAGAAAAGATTGTATTTGGGAAAACATTTTCATAGACCTAAATTTAGTAATGTTTCCAACTTACATTTCACCAGTTAAGCTTCCCATTAGAAAATGTGTTTGTATGACACCAGTTCCACTTGCATTTTTTCCCATAGGTTTCCCAGCAGACGTTTACAATCCTTTAGTGATGTTATAGCCAGAATTGTATTAGGTAATAATATAAAATCCCTAAATTTTATGTACAAACCTTCACTGATATTTTGTAGTTATCATGAAAGAATCCTTGTATTTATTTCTATTCTAATTCTCCTCATGTCATTGGTATTTTATATGTATTCATTGTAAACATGTGTTGAATGTTCTAAATTTACACAAGCAAAACAATGTACATATTCCAGCGCTTAATATTTTCCCTCTCCCTGTTTTTATTCCATGGCTTTCTCTTGCTTTCACTATTGCAAACTCTGACCCTGAGAGGCAAGAGTCATGACCATTTAGTAAGATGTATCGTTGAGTATCATAAAATAGTTGGATAGTCTGCTATTTTTTTATAGTAGCAAAAATAGAATGTTCATATGCTTGCCCATGATTTTTATACATTTTTAAATTTGTCTACCACATGCCTAAATTTACCAAATTAAGTACATGTATATAAAACATTTGCACAAATGTTACTCAAGTTGTCTGAAATAAAAATACATGTATTTTGCAATTTAGAGCACATGACACTAAAAATGTATAGCTCCGTTAACTCACCTTTTGAACAAATTTCAGTAAGAAATTTCAGAATGAATATAAAAAAGTTAAGAAATATTCTAATATATAGTAGCTGAAAAGTTTACAGAAGTAAAGAAGAAAGACACAAATTAGTAGATTCTGAAGAATTATCTATATGAACCCATAACTATTCTCTTTATTTTGGATATTCTATTGTTTCCTTATAATTTGTTTATAAGTTTCCTTATAAATAAACAAATTATAAGGAAACAACGGAATATCCAAAACAGAATATGCAAGCCAATTAACAATCACCATTTTTACCAACAAAAATATTGAAAGTCAGAAAATTGTGGAATATCTTTGAAGGGCTAATAAATGATAATGGCAAATCTAGAATTTTATGTCAATTAGATTTAGAATTCAAGAGCAGATCAAAATAGAGACATCTTCAGACAACCCAAAAACTGAGGGTTTACTACCAAGAATAGTAACTTTTACAGTATATATCATAGAATAAAGGATAATTAACTGGATGTAAATTCCAAAATATTAGAAGAAGAAAGGATGTGAAAAAATATATATAAGCAATCACAATTTTATTTAACAAACACACCAACAATATGTGATTTGTGGGAATAAGAAAAACAATGTAAATATAAAATAATGAACAATTTGTAGCAAATATTTTTAAATAATTGCAATTAAAGAGCCCTAAGACTTGGTATTGTTTGGGCTTGGTGTTAATAAACTTTATATTTTATGTTAATAATGTTTATTAGAATATCAAAATTGCCTAGCAAAAGAAAACTGATAATGTGAATAATTTCCAAAATAAAAGAGATAAGTTACAAACAATGTTAAAGTAAACAAATGCAAAACAAGGCAAAAAAAAAAAATCAAAGTGAGAAAGACCAGCAAAGTGAATAAAAGGAAGAAAATATGACTTTAAATATAAAAAAAAATAAATGAAAACCTAAAAAATAACATGCAAGTTGCCAAAATAAAACAATTTACTTGACTGAATAAAGGTCGTTAAAGGATTTCTTCAGCTGGTGAGCACCAGGCAAACCTGAAGACTAGGTAGTTCCAGACTGAAGTAGGATCAGGCTTCTAACAGAAGAAGTCTGTTGAGTATGCCTGGTTTAGGCTGGACAGATATTTTCTGCTTTAACTGAAGTTGAGTTTAGGTTTTTGGGTTTTTTTCTGTTTGTTTTTGTTTTATCTGTTTATGTTCCACTTTCAGAGTCTCATTATCCATCAGAACAATATTATATGAGAACAATCTTTGCAGTTGATGGGCTAACCACGTTCCCTGGGTGGAGCAGGGGAAGTAGACAAGAATAAGAATGAAGTGGATGTAAAGGAAGAAGGCAAGGGGTGGGGGATTATTACCCTCTAGTATGTTTGTTTTAATCACTTTACACGGTTACTAGTTTTCAAATTTACTAAATATTTTATATGATTCAAATCATTAACTGAGAAATTTATTTCAAATTCAGTGCTCTTTGCAAAGTACTGGCTAGATGTTGGAATCCAAAAATGAACTGTGAAAAAAGGCCCGTGTCCTCAGGAACTTATGTTCAGAAGAAATGGAAAAACAAAATTAAATAAGTGGATAAATACATGTGTGTTGTTTTACTAAGACCTTATTTATTAAATATTTTGCTAAGCCTATAATATTAAATCAGCTATTTATATATCTCTATATAACAATGGTTCTAGAGTCAGGACGTTAACCTTGTGGACTCCTCAGTGACCTTGAGTAATCACTCAACCAAAATACATTTGTATTTAAATACGAACATAAGTTCTAACATTATGTTGTTACCCTAGCCACTTCACAAAATATGTTCGAACAATAGGTTGTTACCCTAGGCACTTCACAAAATATTTGAAAAACACATTGATAGATAATTTGATGATTCTATAAATCTGGTAAATGAATTAGAAATATTATGAAAGGTTTTTCTGAGAGGATACCATCGAGCAAAGAGAAAATGACTAGCATTTGACACTATGTAACTTTAAATCTATATTTCAGGGACCTCTGTCACTTTCTTGGGGAATTGAATCACCTATTCCTACTTAGCAGCATGAAAATGAGTTGAATCTCCAGGTTATAGCATTTGAAGGCATGCCTGAGAAGAGCAGATTCACAAATCAACAGGTGGTTGATGTTTTCTGTGGGGAGCATTCCTACCTCAATCCTGCTGCTGTGACCCATTCCTAACAGCTTTGGGGTCTACAGTCCCCCTTGGTACCTGCTGGGGATTTGTTCCAGGACCACCACCAATCCTACCACCATCATCCCTTCATAGCAAAAGCCAGAGATGCTCAAGTTTCTTATATAAAATGGCCTAGTATTTGCATATAACTTACACACACCCTCTTGTATACTTTATATCATTTCCAGATTACCTACATTAATAATACTGAATACAATATAAATGCTATGCACATAATTGTTATAAGGATTGTTTTTTATTTGCATTGTTTTATTGTTGTATTTCTTTTTAAAAATTATTTTTGGTATTTCTTTTAACAAATATGTTTGATTCATGTTAGTTAAATCCACCCACAATGGGGTTATGGAGGGTCAATTGTATTCAGGAATTTGCATTAACAGACTTAAGAGCCTAGTAGATTCTTTGCTTAAATGAACTCTGTGCAGACACAGCATTCAACATTTCTATTTTGATACTTTAAGCAGACTGCAGTGTTTGACAAGCTATTTCAGTAATATGCAATAATCTTTACAAAATAGACATAGATGTTCTGTGACCCCAAATTCTCTGAAACTCTAAACTCAATTATTGAATCTATAGTGGTGTTTCTGATCAGATTACAACATGAAGGAAGCAATGGAACTTGGCCTAATGTAATGAAAAATATTGCTATCTCTCCACTGATTATTTTGGATGATGGGAGAGCTGTATAGCCATTTAACTAAAGAGGAATCCTTTCATGAACTACTCTGAAGTACTTTAAGAGATGGAGTTGCTGAAGAAAAAAGATTGAAAACAATTGGCTTAGCTGTTTGGAGCGTGGCAAGAATGTAACTACAATCTGTCATTGTGTGGGCAGACAGATTGCCTGAAAATTGAATAAATTGGAAATCACTGGAAGGCAGCTATTTTGTCCTTGAGTGCATTAGATATCTTGGAAAAATGTTATTAAATGGTGAACAATTGCTATCGAAAAGTTTCTAGTTGTTTGGAATATAGAGTTACATAAAGTCAAGATTCTATTATTATTCTAATAATAGATAAAACCCGAATGTAAAGAAAATGTTTCCTATGAAATATGTAATTTAATTCTTATCAGAGCAATACTTTAAACAATTATTTGATTATCCTGTGTTTGTGAATGTATATAAAGTAAGCAATAACCTTATTTTCTCCTCTTTGTAATTTAATTCATTGGAAATTTAGAATCTCAGACTTCTCTCCAGCCCTGTTAAATCTGCATCTTCATTTCCAGGTCACTCATATACTGTTTAACTTTGAGAAGCACTGCTGTATATTGTCTTGAGAGTCCATACTATGAAATAAATTGGCCCTTATTTACTCCTCAATTGAAATTCTTCAAAGACTTCCTTAAAGTTTCTAAATAAGTCCCAGTTAGTGGAAATGAACTGAATTTAGTTTAATTTTTTTATCATGCATTGCTGTCCAAAAGAAGAAAGCTTATTTCTGCCAACTTCTTCTTATCCTCAACTTCCAACCACTGTCACGTCTGTCTTCTTTCTTTTTAATATTTTCAGGTGAATTAGAGGTTTGTCAACCATAAGAATGAAATATATGGTTTATGGCCTATTTTTATGTAACTGGTCATTCTGAGATCTGGAAAATACTACCTGTGTTTATCTGCAACTAAAATCTAGACACCTGAGCCTACACTGCATAGCGAAACAGGTCACTAGAAAAACACAAGCAATTTAGAAAGGCTTTTAATATTGAACAGTTGCATTTTGTTTCTATTCATGTCTATCGCTTTCTCTTTTTTATTCTAAATCACTTTATTATATTCTATATTTAATATTCTATCATTAATATGTCAATAACAGTCAATAATAATTGAGGACTTAGGTTTTGTCAATACACTGATTTATAATTAGTACAATATGTTATGAGTTTCCTTCGCACATTAATATTATCAGCTCTTCATTTTTTGTTGTTCACAATATATCTTCAACTACCTTTTTATTTTTAGGCAATGTACATATTACAATTTAAGAATAACATCTTCTTTGTTAAATATTTATTTCCACCCCTTTTCAGAAAATTAGATGGTTTACACTTATTGTTAGAAATAATATAAAGCTTTTCTGGTTTTGTGCTTCTAAATAATATTATTAATATATTCTTTTGTAATTACAAAAACTCCTTGTTTTTGTTTTGTAATTACTTTCTCAATAAAATAGAGCTGCAAATATTTTGTTCCTTTAAATATTTCAAATAAATAATTTTCATTTATAATAAAAAATATAAAATATGCCAAAGAATTTATTATTTCAAAAAATATGTCATTCACCAATTTGCTTTTAAATTTGTGAAGTCTCATTTTATTTTAATACTTTAATCATAGATCTTAACTTTCTTATAATTAATTTTAATTTGTATTTAACATGGTAATAATATTTTTACTTAATTTTATATTGTTGGGTTAGTAGTCACTGTTAGTACACATAACTATTTTACTTTTTCAACATATAATTTTCATTAATCTTATTCAGATAAAGTTCATTTTCACTATTTTTCTTCAGTTGGAAATATTTCATATTTTAAAGACTTCCATTCCTAACAAATGTGGAATACAACATTTCTAGCTCAAAATATTTTCCAAAACAAAACAGAATTTTTCCAGTCTTCACATATAAAACTAAAGCAACAAGCTCAAGTCTATCCAGACATTTTATACTTCAGAAATGAAAATATTAATCTTACGTGTTTATGGTGGATGTTTTTCTTATAATTTTAGTTAAAAAATATTTGTAGAAGGTTTTTATAGTAATATAGTCAGAAAATTAGTCTGCATTTTTAGCTACAAATTAAGCAGTATTTTAAAAATTAGCTCAGGAAATTTTATTTTATATTGTATTTTAGTCTGTATTTGAATGATATTTAAATTCTTAGATTTTCACTTTAGATGTGGGAACTCAGGTGCTTAATTCTATCCTCTTTAATTTTATATCTGTGATTTCTTCTGGTTTGTTTTCAGTTCTATTTTTTTCCTGCACTGCAAAAGAGTTTCTAAAGATTGTATTTAATATTACAAGCTTCATTTAATGCTCTATCATTTGGCATTTACATTTTTACATGGTTTTAAAATTATATATATTTCTTTGTATTTTTTATCTAATTTTATACAATTTTAAAAATCATGCACCTCTAATATCTATTGACTAGGTTTAGCTTTCATTTCAGAGATAACATTAATAGTGAAAAATATTATCTTAAATGCAAAGATATTCATTATTTAAAAATTGATCAATGACATTCACCAAATTATCACAGAGACAAAAACATAAAATGATCATCTGTAGAGATGCAGAAAAATAATTTGACAAAATTCAGCACTGATTTATAAGAATTATCAGCAAAATAAGAATAGAAATGAAAATTGACCAACAACCAGAAATGACAGCAACAACAAAATACCAAGTCAGTAAAGATGGAGAGAAATAGGGAAGCAGTGAAGGTAGATGTCATTTCTGTTTTTAGTGGTGGAATACAAGGTGTTCTTGTGCTTAAAGGTCATGTTCTTGTGATAAAACGCACTGCAGAGACAACACAGTTTAATTGGCTGAGGCAGGTGACTCCCTTTAAGCATCAGGGTGGAACAAACTACGCGACAAAATGTAATTTTAAAAACCACTCTCATTCAAATGTAATAATATCAAAGCACCCTTAACTCATTAATGAGTGAAACAATGAGTGTCATGGTCTGAATTGTGTTCCCCTCCCCAAACCCGTATGTTCAAGCCCTAACCCCTAGTTATACACACAAGGTAAATGAAACCTTATTTGGACACAAAGTTTTTGCAGATGTAATCAAGCTAAAATTAGGTCTTTAGGTGGGACTTAAAACAACATGGGTTATCTTTATAAGAAGAGGGAACAGAAACAGATAGGATATGGAGAGGACCATGTGAAGACAGAAGCTGAGACTGAAAAGGATTTATGTATTAATATTAACAGAAGCCAAGGAACACCATCTGAAGTTCTGATGGCAACATCAGAAGCTAAGAGAAAGGCATGGAAAAGATTCTCACCTAGAGCATCCAGAGGAGAGGTTGGTCCTGCAGACACCTTGTTTTCTGACTTCTGACCTCCGCAACTGTGAGAGAAGAAATTTCTGTTGCTTAAAGACACACAGCTTGTGGTACTTTATTATAGCAGCCCAAGGTAACTAATATAGATGACAAAACTGGCTCCAAGGGTGTTTGAGGAACTGGACCTTTATAGGCATTATTTTCATAATACTGCATTAAGCTATGATAACTGGATTAGATTCAAAATTGGCTAATGCCTTAAATGCAATAAAGCTATAATTTTGAGATAAAATTTTAATAGCTTTATGAGATATAATTAACATCTGGTATACTGCACTTTTTTGAGGTGTGAAATTTTTAAACATTAACATATGTATATACTTGTAAAACTATCACACTATAGAGAGATCTCAAGCCTCTTCTTTTGACTTTCAACACATTGTCAATCCAGTACTAATCTGGTTTTATTACCATATATTAGCTTTTATTTTCTACAATTATGTATCAGTAGAATTATAGAGTATGAATTATTTTTGTCTTTTTTCCTTAAGCATAATATTTTTGAGATTCAACAATTTCTTGCATGTTTAAGTAGCACTTTTTTTTTGTTACATATTATTTCATTTCATAGACATACCACTATAATTTATTTACTAAACTCTTGACCAGAGGGTCTCAAATGAGGGACATTTTACCTGCCAGGGGACATTTCCAATGTTTGGGGACACTTTTGGTTATCAGAGGTTTGTGGAGGAGGGGATGGAGTGTGCACAGGCCAGGGTTCCACAAAGGATAGCTCCGCACAACAAAGAATTAAGCCACTTCAACAGCTAATAGTGCTGAACTTGAGAACGCCGCTCTTGGTGGACAGTTGCATGGTGTCTGTTTTTGACAATAACGAATAAAGGTACTTGTGCAAGCCTTTTTATAGACTTATGCTTTTCTCCCCCCTAGGATAAATGCCTAGGGGTAGAATTGGTACATGTAAGGTAGATTTAGTTATCCAAAGTAGCTATACTGTGTTACACTCCCACCGTCAATGTATGCAAACTCTAGATTGTGGTTTCTTGACATCTATGCCAAATATTGGTAACACAATTTTTAAAATAGTAGCTTTTCTAGTAGATGTGTATAATTATCTCATTTTATTTTTTATTACTAATGATATTAAGAAATTTTTCATTTGCTTATTTGCTATTATATCATTTTTGTGTAGCATCTGTTAGTTTTTATAGTTCTCTTGTTTCCATGTTGTACATTATATTTATACATTCTTGCTCTTATTCATAATAAATAGTATATATAATTGTGTAATTAAAAATAAACATTAAAATATAAATATATTTATACATTTCTGTAGTTTATCATTATATAATTATTGCTTTCTGAATAAAAACAAATTTCTCCACAGTTTGGATAAAAAGAAATGCTTTCATGTAGTTTACTAAGACATTTTCTGTGCTTTATATTTGAAGCCTATGCTTTCACTTTTACATATTGTTCCATAATATATTTTGGACTCATTTAATTTTGAACTCATTCATGCTTTTGTTGTGAGGAAGGACTTGAGGTTTGTTTTCTTCACATTTATCTCATAGTTCTGCACACTTTGTTAAATAAAATTATCTTTCCCCTTTGAATAACTGCAGTATCTTTGATATTATATTATTCATATAAGCATGGATCTATTTGTGAACTCTATTCCATTCCATTACTCTAATTGTTTATCCATATACTAATAACACATTCTCTTGATGACTATAGCTTTAAGTTATTGCATGGTGTTAGGAAGTGTGAGTATTCCAACTTTTTTTTCAGCTTTTTATCATTTGTTTTTGCTCTCTTGATGTACATTTTTAAATCAGTGTGTCAATTTATATAAAAATATCTTTTGTGATTATGGTGAGGATTTCTAGAATGATTAATTTGGAAAAACCAAAACCTTTTACACACTAAAATTCACTGAACTTTCAAGCCATGATTATTGTATTAGTTTGTTCTGGCATTGCTATAGAGAAATACAGAAGACTCAACAATTTATGAAGAAAAGAGGTTTAATTGCCCCACTGTTCTGCAGGCTATACAGGAAGGATGATGCTGGCATCTACTTAGCTTCTGGGAAGACTCAGGAAATGTACAATCATGGCAGAAAGCAAAGGGGGACAGGCACGCCACATGGCCAGAACAGCAAGAGAGTGAAAGGGGAAGGTGCTACACACTTTTAAATGACCAGATCTCATGAGAACTCACTCACTCACTATTATGAGAACAATATCAAGAGGGATGATGCTGAACCACTCATGAGAAATCCACCCCATGATCCAATCACCTCCCACCAGGCCTCACCTCTAACATTGGAGATTACATCATATCAGATTTGGGCAGGGACACACATCAAAACCATCAATTATTGTATGTGACTCCATTTATTTAGAACTTTCCTACATCTCCCAACACTTTTGCTAGTTTCCTATTTAGAGAGATCTTGCATGTAATTTGTTAAAATCATATATACATATTTTATTTTTATTAGTATTTTACATGGATTTGATTTTTATCATTAATTGCTCATTGGAAATATATAGAAATAAGTTAATGGGTTGACTTATTTTTTCTATGATGTGGCTAAAATTACTAGTTTATTCCAGCAGCTGATTTTTACAGTCACTAGAAGTTTATGTATAGGTAATGGAGTTGTTTAAAAATTTAGAATTGTATTTTTCATTTCTTAACTGTGTATGTTTTACTTATTTATTTGATTTGTCTCACTGGTTAATTCCTCCCATACAGTAGAGAGAACAATAGTGAAAGAGGACACTTTGTCTTCTTCTGGATCTTAAATGAATAATTTATTAGTTCAAACTTCAGTGTGATATTTCCATAGATGCCTTCTATTTGCTTAAGGATGCTTCTTTGTATTCTATTGGGGCGAGATATTTTTATTATAATTCTATCTTGAAAATGCCAAATGTTTTTTCTGCCTCAGAGGAAGTTTATATATTTTTTTCATTTTACTCAGTTAATGTGGTGAGTTTGAAAATTCAAAATACTTGAAAAATCACGTTCCCATCAAACACTGCTTCTTACTCTGCCTTTCTAAGAGGACTACCTTCAACTTGGGCATTTAGAGGATACTTCCCTTCCTATAGCTCAGGGTTTTTTTGTATTTTTTTTATGTTTAAATTTTAGTGATATTTCTTTTTTGTGTTTTTAAAATATTTTATGGGCTATTGCATTGACCCATTTGTTTCAACTTTACAGCTCTAGTTAAATATAAAAATTAATAAAATGTCAACACTCAAGCATTACATATATCCCTTGATCTGGTGATTTAGGACTATGAGAAAAATGCTCAATTTCCCTCGATAGAAGGAAGTATCAACTTTTTTATTTATTCATTTATTACTGTAGACTCACAGCCTAAAAAATCATTAGGTCTCCATTGATCAGCAAGCAAATGATCATGATTGCTTTTCTGAATTTTTGACAATTTCAGAATAGGCAAGAAAGCTAAATTTTAAAAATAAAATGCCAACACCAAGAGTTTAAAATCAAATTCGTCACAATGAATCCCAACAGGAAATAGTTCTTCATTTTATGATTACTCAGAGATTTTGCTTGTTGTAGTGGTCTTCCTTCTGGCTCATAATTTTTTGCTACTCTGCAGCAGAAATAATAAGAAATATTTTCCCAGTCCACAGTGGTGAAGGAGAAGAAAACTATAAATCAAAAGTAGCATATTCTGTGGATCATTTATTGAAATAAACACAGTGAGTACAAGATGGGTAATCTATTTGCATAATCAAAGACACCCTTCATCTGTGTCTATTTTTTTCTTTTCTTTCTTTTTTTTTTTTGAGACAGAGTCTCACTCTGTTACCCAGGTTGGAGTGCAGTGGCATGATCTTGTCTCACTGCAGACTCCGCCTCCCGGGTTCCAGCAATCTTCCTGCCACAGCTTCCTGAGTAGCTGGGATTACAAGGTATGGGCCACCATGCCCGGCTAATTTTTGTATTTTTATTAGAGATGGGGTTTCGCTATGTTGGCCAGACTGGTCTTGAACTCCTGGCCTCAAGTGATCTGCCCGCCTCAGCCTACCAAAGTGCTGGGTTACAGGCATGAGCGACTTGCCTGGCTATGTCTATTTTTAACATAGTTATAGTGAACTATAATCATTTTTACATAAAAACTATTCTTACAAATGTTATATGTATTTTAGGAGCATACAAACTTATGGGTTTTTTTATTTAATAAAAACCAGTGGCAGATTGATAATGCAGAATATATTATTTATAAAAAATCATTTGTTGTCATACAAACATATATTTTATTTGAAAATTATACTTTTGAATAGCTTTTTGGAAAGTTAAAGTATTCTCATTTATTGCATACATTTGTCACCAAAATTATACGAAAGAGTGTTTGATTCAAAATGTGTGTGTGTGTGTGTTCCTATATAGGACCTGGATAACACATATATATTAAATAAATAAATACATGTATATATCATGCACACACATTTAAATATAATGTAAATGTGTGTGTGTGTGCATGTGTATGTGTATGCAGATGCCCCTCTGGAAACAAATTTAAAAAGAATCCCCTCTTTTGAGTGTATAAAGAAGTTCCTTTCTTAAGGAATGGATAACAGGGGTTGGTACTTTGGCTGAATTCCTCTTCCTCTTACTTTCATTAGACTTGGCACTGTTGCATAGAACACAATTTTCCAAAATGTAATGTCTGTGTTATGCCTGCAAATGTACCATACATAACAATTTGTCATTTTCTGTAATTACATACTGACCTATTTAACATTTATCTAACCACTTATATATCTTAATTAAATCAACCCATGTAAATTGTTTATTTCTATTGTCTTTCTCAGTATAATGCACAAGATACCTTTCTATCTCTATATGTATTTGTCATTTTCATGTCTGTCCCTACATGAATTGACTCTATTTTTCTATTACATAGATATGTGATGTTAGTACAATATATGTTAACTAAAAATGGATGATGCAACCTTTTAAAATTATGAACATCACAGTGAAAATTATGTCTCTAAAACCCAATGACCAAAGGGACATTCCAGTTTTTAGAAAAATATCAGGGGCTTAGGTATTTTCAGATTAAATTTTGAAAAATAGAGTATCTTTCCATTTATTTATGTGGGCAAATTTCCCATTTGTTGACATTAAATCTTAATGGCATATTGCCTAAATCTTTCTCAGAAAAGCTTAGCCAAATTGCCTAGGATGTTTCCTTTCTCCCATATTACCATCACTGTATACCATCATATTTCCAATAATTTTAACTTTGGAAAATGAAAATGGTATTTCAATTTAAATGCGTATGTTTTTCTATTTGCAAAGAGATTAAACATCTCTTCAAGTTTTTAAACTATATGCAGCCCTTCTTTTCTGCTATACCTGTTCATTTCCTCAAGCTATTTTTCCATCAGACAGTTTTATATTTTCTCATTGATTTGAAGCTTCTATTAAAGTATTGTATACACATGGGTAAATGCACATAAGTTTAAAGCTTAGTGAGTTTTAAAATACTATGATCATCCAGAATAAGAAAATGTAATAGTCACACACCTGATTTCCACCCATCCCTCCTAACATAACACTATTCTAACTTTTACCAGTAAGGAATCAAATAGTGTGAGTAGTGTTTTGAACCACATTTTTTTGCTTAATATTTTATTTGTGAGACTAATTGATTATATGACCTGCAAATGAAACTATTTACATTTATTCCTCTAATATTTTATTAGGTGATCATATTACAACTTATTTGTTTACTGTACTCTTTATAAGTATTTTAGTCTACTTTTGGCCCACAGTTTGGGGTTATTTTGGTGTTATTCTGAAAAGTGTTTTCATGAGTACACATTTTTTTTTAGCTATATATATGCATGCATTTCTGGAGAAACATCTTTACAAACAGAATTTTGGGGCCTAATACATATCTTTATCCAAATTATTTGAACTAAGTTATGCCAATAACATCAATTTGAGTGTTCTAATTAGTCAACATTCTCATCAATACTTTGCATTTTCTCTTCAACTTAGAATTCTAAAATATTCCTTTCAAATTCAGGATTCTGAATGACAAGTACTTACATCTCATTGTGGTTTGAATTATTTTTTCAGATAACCAATATAAATAAAAACCTTTTAATAAGTTCATTGGTTATTTGAATATTTTATTTTTGAAGTGTCTAAAATATTTTCTTTTTAATCCTGTCCAGTTATTTTTCTGTGGTTTGCTTCTTGTTGTCTTATTGAGTTCATTGCCTTTTTAATATTCTTTTCCAGTTAACATTTCCCCCTCATTGATCTGAAATGTTTTCATTATATACCACCTTTCCATATCTGTCAATGTCTTGATTTTCTATATGATCTTCATCTATCTGTATTTATAACTCATTTTAATCATAGAAGCTTTAAGAATTGCTTAATATTTTGTATTGACTCCAAATTCCATTGATTTTATAGGATATTTCTAGCTATTCTTGCTTCTTTATTCCTCCAAGTAAATTTGTCTATTTTTCTGAATCTGGAAAAAGAAATTCTAGAAAATATTGTTTTGTTATGACATAGAAGATATAAGTTTATTTAAAGAACTGGCACATTTATGATTTTAAGGCTTTTTCAAGAGCATGGAATTTCTTTCCCCGTGCTCAAGTCCAAATGTGTGCCATTCAGAAGTGTTTTCTAGTTTTTTTATATATAGGTTTTAAACATTTCTGGTTAAGTTTATGCCCTCACATTTTATTTTAGTTTGGTTAATGACGTTTTACATGGTGAGTTCCTCAATTATTTCTTTTAAATGTTCTGATTCAATAGGAACACTCTCCTTAGTATCCTTAACAGAAATGATTCTTGTTTATAGAATTGCTAAATAAGTAAAGAAATTTTAAGTTAAATCATGGCAAGGAGTTATAATTATACTCAGCTTTTTTGTTCCTAGAGATTTTGGCTCATTCATATGGTAATCTATATGAAAATTTTTCTGTGATATCTAATATTAGAAAGATCCTCAATGATAGAATAGTGTTTCTTCCTAGCTGATTCATACATCTTTCTCTGCCAATATTTTGTTTGTTGAAGTGTTCCCCAACATATGACTCGTTGCTTACTAAATCCCTATTGAGCAGCCAAAGCCCTGGTGACTAATTATGTCATTAATTTGGGAAAGTCAGAGACAATAAGACTGTCAGTTGAAACTTTGTAGGAGGTAAAAAAGTCACTGCTGTCAGCTGCAAAGATCCTTAAAATGGTCTTTAATAAAGTCAAATTTTGTGACAATAATTATTGCATCAAAGTCGGGGAAATACCTCTTAGATCAAATAAGATACATTGAAAAGCCAAAAATTATTTTTATCTCACTTTGTATTCTCATAAGGTCTATCCACTGTTACTTGGATATGAGACTTAACAAATGGAAAAGAAGACAGGGGTACTATCACACTGTATTTTCCTATGGCCTAATGACCACAATGGTTGATGAACTGCAGTAAAGTTTCTATAATATTTTCCATCTGTTCATTTGCTCAATCACCTTGTAATGGTTATGTCGGTTAATTCCAGTCTTTCATGTGTAAGCAACAAAATGAGACTTATTTTGAAATATCCAGTATTTTTCTATTCTTACAAATAATTTTCAGGATCAATGCATTGAGGATTAGGAATGGCAATGTGTATTACTACTTTGATACCAACTATATCCAATCTAATGTTGGAATTTGTTTGACAAAGTGTTGTGTATTTGAAAATAGGTAGCACTGAATAAAAAGAATATGGGCAAAAGAAAAATGGAAGTGTTTTGAATGGAAGTCTAAAATATTTATTGATCAATGCTGAACTGAGTAAGCAGGAGATGCCTGTACTTAAATGACATTATCCTGATCTAGTAACAGGGGGAAGCAGAATATCTGAAAGCTGTTTATTAATTTGATAATAATAAGATTAGAAACATGCAAATCAAGATTAATAGTATTCACTTCTAATTGGGTTTAGGTAGACTTTGACTATTTTGCTTCTGATGTTCTTATATTTTTAATTTTCTATAATGATCATATAATATATAATATTTTCATAATATTAAACATTTTAGAATTAAACTCCATTAGAGTGTATCTTTCCTAAAATAATATAAACATCCAATCTTGTCATTAACAATTCCGTTCTCAAACATTAGCCTTTTCCCTCAAGCCAATGTTGCTTTCGACCCATATTGTCCATCATTTCAATTTATCTCAAAGTTTTTTATTGCAACAATTAAATGCTTTGAATGATACCCAAGGCATAGTTCTATTTCAATAAAATTTCAAAGTTAATAGTTACATCAAATTTTGTTGGTGCTCATTGAATTTGGTTATTAAAACCATAAGTAGTATGTTTTATGCTGACTGAGGGAGATAAAAGTAGTAATGTTTAATATTCAAACTGTGATGACTGAAAAAAAAATTAGAAGCCTGTAAAATCTTATTTAATGTCAAATTTTAATTAAACAGGCTTAGCAGACCAAAATTAAAATCTCAATTATTTTTAAATTATTATTATTTTTTTTTTTTTTGAGACGGAGTCTCGCTCTGTCGCCCAGGCTGGAGTGCAGTGGCGGGATCTCGGCTCACTGCAAGCTCCGCCTCCCGGGTTCACGCCATTCTCCTGCCTCAGCCTCCCAAGTAGCTGGGACTACAGGCGCCCGCCACTACGCCCGGCTAATTTTTTGTATTTTTAGTAGAGACGGGGTTTCACCGTTTTAGCCGGGATGGTCTCGATCTCCTGACCTCGTGATCCGCCCGCCTCGGCCTCCCAAAGTGCTGGGATTACAGGCGTGAGCCACCGCGCCCGGCCTATTTTTAAATTATTAATGACAGACAACTAGATTGAGTGAACACTGGCATCTCTTTTCAAATAACTTAGTTTAGTGGATGAGTTAAACATAAACTAGTTATTATAATGCAGCGAAGTATGTGAAAAATTTAATTTGAACCCTACTTAGCTTAAAATCCTGACATTCTAGGATGCAAGTCCTGCAAACTTTCCATATGTAATTAACAATTTTCTAAACATGCATGCTGTATCTCTCCTGTGTGACTTTGCATACCTCATTCCCACATTCTAGATTACCCCAACCCACCTTAAGTGACTGCTTTTGCATAATCTCCCTTAAAATTCTAACTCAAGCACTGCATCTTTTGAGTCCTTCCCTAACATCTTAACATCTTCCTTCTTTCATTCATCATTAACTATAGTTAGTTATTATAGCACCTGTTAGCACTGTAAAATTATGTGTGTTACACAAGTACAACATGCAGACTAAGGTCGTGTATTACCTAGCCTCATATCAGCATCACCTAGAACAGCAAAAATGTATGCAGATTAATCACAATATATTTGGATGTACAAAATATATTGAGAGCAAAATATGATGGAAATTTAGGTGATGCTCTTTGAGCATTGCTTCCATTTTCCAATAATGTAACCAGGAATCACTGTTCATATAATTAAAGAACAATAAGTCTATGTGAATCAAAATATACGTATACATGCAAATGTTAAACCTCAGTAGGAAGAGGCTCATTCTCTTGCTTGCTGCTATATATATATATATATATATATATATATATATATATATATACTCATATATATATGTTGTGTGTATATGTATATACACACAACAATCTATAGGCTTGCTTTTTAAAATAGTATAAGCAACAAATTTTAAGAGAAACAATAATGAGTGTGTAAAACATTAGATATGTGTATGTACCTTTGCTATTATTTGTGGAAATGGGGCTATAAAATAAGCTCCTTTATTTTCTTTTGTAAAACATTTCTTTAATATGAAGTAATGCAATACGTATTTATGTTCTAAGTGTTTTAATTTCCTTGGATATAAAATAATATCTTATTCCTTTGATTCTCTTACATATAAGTGTATTTACTCAGATATTACTCCAAATACACCAGATATATTCAAAGTTGAAAAAATATATACTTTGGAATGTATTATCACCTTATTTCACATTAAGAAATCAAAATCTCTGGTATCCAAGTGCATTCCAGCCTGAAAAAAATTATGCAATTGTGAATTTAACAGAAAGCAAATTGCTCACATATGGAGTCAACGTGAAGCTATATCAATATTTATTAAAAGTTTATATATTACTTTTGATCCCCTGGAGAGAAATACAAAATTCAAATAATTATTCTATTTTTATATCCCAATTTGTAATTATGAAACTCTAGCATTTTAATTTTTCTCTTTCAAGTTTACCTGAAGCTTTACAAAATTCTGTGAGGAATCTATTATAACAGGTATTTTGCTTATTTCCACACAAACAGAAGGAAATGTGTATTTTCTATGCCCTGAAGAATTTACTCTTTTCTGTAAATGACATATGGTAGTTAATTCTTTTTGGTAATAAAATATTCCTGTTTTTATGCCGAACAGCCTTTTCATTTAAATTCAGGGCAACATATCAAAGCTTTGCCGTAATAATACAGAGTAATCAACTAAAGTAATATAGAATTTAAATAACAAAGAGTTTAAACAATTTAATATGTCTTCTATTAATTTCAAACTGAAATTTTACAGAAATTATTTGGAATATGCTGCCAGAGTACACACACACACACACACACGCATCACACGCTCACATCACACACTCACACCCAGCTAAAGGAAATTACCACAGCTATAATGATTTCATTAAATATCTGAAATTAAAGTTTCTTTTGGACTTTCAGCTGAAGCTCATAGTAAATAAAAGTAATATGATCATTGTTGCATACTGTGACTCAACAGCACACAGAAACCTTAGACTTTCTATATTTACACAGCTTAATTATCCGAACTGAAACCTGAGGCCATCTGTGTCAACACGATTTCACAATTCATTCCAGAAAATTATTTTTCAGGAAAGTAAGGCTGCAAACCAATAAATAACTTATTGTTTGCTTCAGGAAATTTCTGCAAATCAATTTATGTCAGTAAGCAACTCTCCTCTGGGCCAACAGATTGCTCACCTGGGCAGGTAGCAGCTTGTGTCAATAACAGTTTACTTATGAAGACTTCTGTCATGGCCCTTAACTCACAGTGTCCCCCAATCCTAAACTCTATGTCCTGAACATTACCTATTCTTATCAGTCATTGGTCTTGAAAGGCCCCGGGCAACCATTTGAGCCCAGACTTCAATACTCTATCAATACCACCTTATCATCTACTTTTCTAACATAACCCCTCAAGGTGGTGACCCCACTTAACAGTCGTATTTTATTGAATTTAGCTTTCCCTAATCAACATGCTAGTCTATTGGATGCAGTGTCAGAGGCAACAATCACAGAGGTTCTGAAAGCATCAGCCCATGGTTTTCTAAACATCATGGTTCAAGACCCTTAACACGAAACAGAAAGTTTCCCCGAGGCGCCGTAAACAACCCGTTTGGGCGCTTCCCTGATAATTATAGTGAAATCTGGCATCTAATTTTTTTTGGTGGACTCTCAAATTTTATATTTATGTTTTGATTCCTAGAAATAAAAAATGTTTTTATAAGGAATTCTTTGATCGTTTATGTTTTATTCTTGATAGAAACCTACTTTATAACTTCGAACATTATTGATGTTCTTCCTGTATTTCTGAGAGGTGACAGCTTGCTGGCATCCCTCGCTGGCTCTCCGCGCCTCCTCGGCCTCAGCCCACTCTGGCCGCGCTTGAGGAGCCCTTCAGCCCGCAGCTGCACCGTGGGAGCCCCTCCCTGTGCTGGCTGAGGCCTGAGCGGGCTCCCTCTGCTGGCGGGGAGGTGTGGAGGGAGAGGCGCGGGCCGGAACCTGGGCTGCCTGCGGTGCTCGCAGGTCCAGCGCGACTTCCGGGTGGGCGCGGGCTCGGCGCGCCCCGCATTCTGAGCGGTCGGCTGGCGCCGCCGGCCCTGGGCAGTGAGAGGCTTAGCACCCGGGCCAACAGCTGCGGAGGGTGCACTGGGTCCTCCAACAGTGATGGCCCGCCGGCGCCGCGCTCGAATTTTCGCTGGGCCTCAGCCACCTCCCCGCGGGGCAAGGGGGCAGGGCTCGGGACCTGCAGCCTGCCATGCTGGAGCCCTCACCCTGCCCCCCGCCCCCGTCCCCTGCCCCCCGCCCCCCAACCGCGGGCTCCCGCGCGCCACCCCGAGGGGACGGGCGCCACCTCCTGCTACGCGGCACCCGGTCCCGTCAACCGCCCAACGGCTGAGGAGTGCGGGAGCGCGCCAGAGACTGGCGGGCAGCTCCGCCCGCGGCCGGGATGCACTAGGCAAAGCCAGCTGGGCTCCTGAGTCCGGTGGGTACTTGGAGAACTTACTACGTCTAGCTGGAGGATTGTAAATGCACCAATCAGCATGCTGTGTCTAGCTCAAGGTATGTGAACGCACCAATCAGTGCTCTGTGTCTAGCTAATCTGGTGGGGACTTGGAGAACTTTTGTGTCTAGCTAAAGGATTGTAAACAGACCAATCAGCTCTCTATGAAATGGACCAATCATCAGGATGTGGGTGGGGTGAGATAAGGGAATAAAAGCGGCTGCCACAGCCAGCAACAGCAACGTGCTAGGGTCCCTTTCCACAGTGTGGAGGCTTTGTTCTTTTGCTCTTTGCAATCTTGCTGCTGCTCACTGTTTGGCTCTGCACAGAGCTGTAACACTCACCAAGAAGGTCTGCAGCTTCACCCAAAGATATTCCAAAGATACAGAAAACTATATAGAGACATTTTGTATAGTTCTAATAGCATATAATCCACAGGTCCCTGATCTATAATATGGGTTTTTTATAAAATTGGTTTTTTGTATGCTATGAGGAATTTTACTTGTTAAAAAGAAGAGGTGGAAAGGCAGAATATGAAAACTATGAGAATGACATAAGAGACTATGAATTAGGTGAGAAACCAGAGAGATTTAGAAACCTGTAGACATTGTGCATCCCCCAATGCCTTTCCCCTTAAAAAAATATTATATTCTAATCCAGTCCATCAAATAAAGTCTACATTCATTAGAAACATATTCTCTTGGTTTTTATAATTTCAGTTTTTTTCAGACACAGATAGTGCATATGCAGATTTGTTACTTTTGTACAGTGCACCCTGGTAGTGAGCATAGTACCCAGTAGGTAATTATTCAGCCCATGCTCCCCTCTCTCCCCCACCCCCATAGCCTGCAGCATGTCTTGTTCCCATGTTAATGTTCCTGTGTGTTCAATGTTTAGGTTCCACTTATAAGTGAGAATGTGTGGTATCTGGTTTTCTTTTCCAGCACTAATTTGCTTAGGATTATGTCCTTAGCTCTATCCATGTTGCTGCAAAGGACATAATTTCATTCTTTTTTATGGAGGCATAGTATTCCATAGTGTATATGTACCACATTTTCTTTATCCAATCCACCGTTGATGGGCACCTAGGTTCATTCCATGTCTCTGCTATTGTGAATAACATGCTGATGAACATACGAGTGCATATATATTTTTCTGGTAGAATAATTTATTTTCCTTTGAATATATACCCAGTAATGGGAATGCTGGGTGGAAGGGTATCTCTGTTTTAAGTTCTTAGAGAAATCTCCAAAATACTTTCCACAGTACCTGAACCAGTTTACATTTCCACCAACAGTAGTGTATAAGCATTCCCTTTACTCTGCAGCCTGGCCAACATCTAATTTTTTGACTTTTTAATTATAGCTATTGTGACTGATGTGAGTTGGCATCTTACTGTGGTTTTTGCTTGCATTTATTTATTTGATGATTAGTGAGGATGAGTGTTTTTTCATATACTTGAGTGTCTTCTTTTGAGAAAATATCTGTTCATGTCCTTTGCCTTTTCTTGATTTAAATTTTAAGTTCTGGGGTACATGTGCAGGAAGCGCAGTTTTGTTACATAGATAAACGTGTGTGGTGGTGGTTTGCTGCACCTATCAACCCATCACCTAGGTATTAAACCCAGCATGCAGTAGCTATTTTTCCTGATGCTCTCCCTCTCCTCAACCCCCTACAGAAAATTATAGTGTGTGTTGTGTGTTGTTCCCCATTGTGTGTTGTTCCCCTCCCTGTGTCCATGTGTTCCCATTGTTCAGCTCCCACTTATAAGTGAGAAGATGCGGAGTTTGATTTTCTGCTCCTGTATTAGCTTTGCCCTTTTTAACTGGGGTTGTTTTATGCTTGTCATTTTTTCTTCCTTATGGATTTGTTATATTAGATCTTTATCAGATTCATAGTTTGCAAATATTTTCTCCCATTCTGTAAGTTGTCTGTTTACTCTGTGGATAGTTTCTATTGCTGTGCAGAAGCTTTTTAGTTTGATTGACTCTCACTTGTCAATTTCGTTTTTGTTGCAGTTGTTTTTAGAAACTTAGCCAAAAATTATTTGCCAAGGCCAACGTCGAGAAAAATATTTCCTAGGTTTTGTTTTAGAGTTTTCATAACTTGAAGTCTTACATTTTAACCTTTAATCCATCTTGAATTAATTTGTGTGTATGGTGGAAGGTAAGCATCCAGTTTCACTCTTCTGCTTATGGCTAGCGAATTATCCCAGCACCATTTATTGAATAGGGTGCCTTTTCCCCATTGTTTGTTTTTGTTGGCCTTGTCCAAGATCAGATGGTGGTAAGTGTGCAGCTTTAGTTTTGAGTGTTCTGTTCCATTGGCTTAAGTGTCTGCTTTTGTAACAGTATCATGGTTAGTGTACACTTATAGTATAGCTGGAAATTGGGTAGTATGATGCCTCTCTGGCTTTATTATTTTTGCTCAGAATTGCTTTGGCCATTCTGGCTTTTGGGGGTGTTCCGTATAAATTTAGAATAGTTTTTTCTAATTCTGTGAAGAATGATGTTGGTAGTTTCATGGAGATAGCCTTGAATCTACAAATTGCTTTGGGCAGTATGGCCATTTTAACAATATTGGTTCTTTTAATCTGTAAACATGGAATGTTATTCCATTTATTTGTGTTATCAAAATTTCCTTCCTTCCTTCCTTCCTTCCTTCCTTTCCTTCCTTCCTTCCTTCCTTTCCTTCCTTCCTTCCTTCCTTTCCTTCCTTCCTTCCTTCTTTCCTTCCTTCCTTCTTTCCTTCTTTCCTTCCTTCCCTTCCTTCCTTCCTTTCCTTCCTTCCTTCCTTCTTTCCTTCCTTCCTTCTTTCCTTCTTTCCTTCCTTCCCTCCCTCCCTTCCTCCCTCCCTTCCTCCCTCCCTTCCTTCCATCCTTCCTTCCTTTTCTTATTTCCTTCCTTTTTTGAGACAGGGTCTCACCCTTTCACCCAGGCTGGAATGCAGTGGAGTTATTATAGCTCACTGCAGGCTTGAACTCCTGGCCTCAAGCCGTCAGGGTAGTTAGGACTACAGGCATGTGCCACCATGCCTCACTATTTAAAAAAAAAAAAAAATTTGTATAGATGAGGTTCCACTATGTTGCCCAGGTTGGTCTCAAACTCCTGGGTTCAAGCGATATACCTGCCTCGGCCTCCCAAAGGCATGAACCACTGCATCCAGCTTCAGATTTCAGCTGTGTTTTGTAATTCTCCTTGTGGAGATCTTTCACATCTTAGGTTAGTTGTATTTGCAGGGATTTTATTTTCATCCTAGGTGTTGTAAATATGATTGTGTTCTTAATTTAACTCTCAACCTGGATGTTGTTGTTGTATAGAAATGCTACTAATTGTTGTACATTGATTTTGTATCCTGAAACCTTGCTAAAATCCTTTATCATTTCTAGTAGACTTTTGTTGAAGTCTTTAAGGTTTTTTAGGTGTAGAATGATATTGTTGGGTTAAGACAGATAGTTTGCCTTAATCTTTACTTCCTATTTGGGTGCTTTTCTCTTTTTCTGTTGCGAGATTGCTCTGACTAGGATTTCTGGTACTATGTTGAATAGGAGTGGTAAGAGTGGATGTCCTTGGCTTGTTTCATTTCTAAAGGAGAATGCTTTCAGCTTTTGCCCATTGAGTATTATATTGGCTGTGGGTTTGTTGTAGATAGCTCCTTTTTATTTTGAAGTATGCTTATTTGAAGCCTCAACTGTTGAGGGTTTTTTTTTGTTTTGTTTTTTCATGAAGGGACACTGGATTTAATTGAAAGCTTTTCCGGCATCCATTGAGATGATCATATGGTTTTTGATTTAATTCTGTTTATCTGGTGAATCACATTTATTGATTTGCATATGTTGAACCAGCCATGCATCCCAGGAATAAAGCCTGTATTGTCATAGTAGATTAATTTTTTGATATGCTGCTGATGGATTCAGTTTGTTAGTACTTTGTTGAGAATTTTTGAGTCTATGTTCATCAACAGTGGTCACCTGAATGTTCTTTTTTTTTGCGTCTCTGCCAGGTTTTGGTATTAAGCTGATTCTGGCTTCACAGAATGAGTTAGGAAGGAGTACGTTCTCTTCAACTTTTTTGGAATAGTTTCAGTAGAATTGTACTAGTTCTTCTTTATACTTCCGGTAGAATTTTGCTATGAATCCATATAGTCCAGGGCTTTTTGGCTTGGTAGATTTTTTATTACTTATTCAATTTCAGAGCTTCATATTGGTCTCTTCAGTATTTCAGTATCTTTCTGATTCAATCTTGGAAGATTGCCTGTTTTCAGAAATTTATCCATTTCCTCTAGATTTTCTAATTTTTGTGTCTAGAGTTATTCCTAGTATTCTCTGAGGATTATTTTGTATGTCTGTGGGACCATTTTTAATGTCGTTTTTGTCATTCTGATTTATATATTTAGATCTTCTCTTTTTTTTCTTTGTTTATCTAGCTAAAGGTCTATCAATCTCTTTTTTTAAATCAACTCTTGGTTTCATTAATCTTTTGTATGGATTTTTGCATCTCAATTTCATTCAGATCTTCTCTATTTTAGTTGTTTCTTTTCATTCCTAGCGTTGATGTAGGGTTGTTCTTTTTTTTTTTCCTAGTTCCTTTAGGTGTAGTGTTAGATTGTTAATTTGAAATATTTCTAACTTTATGATAAAGGCATTTAAACGTTCCTCTTAACACTGATTTAGCTGCATCCCAGAGATTTTGGTAATTTGTGTTCCCATTTTCATTAATTTCACTTTCTTAAAATTTCTCCCTTAATTTTGATTTTCACACAGAAGTTAGTCAGGAGAAAGTTGTTTAATTTTCATCTATTTGTGTAGTTTTGAGAGATGTTGATATTTATTTATATTTTGATTACATTGAGATCTAAGAGTGTGCTTGATATTATTTCATTTTTTAAAATTTATCCAGACTTGCTTTATGACCAAGCATGTGGTCAATGTTAAAATATGTTCCCTGTGCAGATGAGAAGAATGTATATTCTGTGGTTATTGAGTGGAGTGTTCTGTAGATGTCTTATTAGGTCCAAATGGTCAAGTGTGAAGTTTAAGTACACAGTTTCTTTCTTAGTTATCTGCTTTGATTATCTAATGCTGCCAGCGGGGGTGTTGAAGTCTCCTACAATTATTGGGTGGTCGTCTGTCTTTTTGTAGTCCAAAAAGAACTTGTTTTATGAATCTGGGTGCTCCATGTTGGGTGCATTTATATTTAGGGTACTTAAGTATTCTTGTTTGATCATATACTTTCTCATGACATAATGTTCTTCATTCTTCAATTGTTCTTTTTAATTTTGATGAAAGTCTGTTTTATCTGATATAAGAATAGTTACTCCTGCTTTTTTGTTATCATTTGCATGGCAGATTTTCTCTATCCCCTTATTTTGGGCCAGTGGCTGTCATTACATATGAGATGGGTCTCTTGAAGACTACAGATGGTGAGCCTTGCATTTTTGTCCAGTTTGCCATTGTACGTCGTTTAAGTGGGGTGTTTAGCCTATATACATTTATGGTTAATGTTGATACATGAGATTTTGATCCTATCATCATGTTTGTACCTGGTTTTTAGGTAGACTTGATTGTGTAGATACTTTATAGTGCCTGTGAGCTATGTACTTAAGTGAGTTTTTGTGGTAGCAGGTGTCATTCTTTTTACTCAATGTATAGCACTCCCTTAAGGACCTTTCATAAGGCTGGTCAAGTTGAAATCGATTCCCTCAGTATTTGATTATCTGAGAAGAAGTTTGTTTCTTCTTCACTTAGGAAGTTTAGTTTAGTGAAATATAAAATTCTTGCCTGGAATTTATTTTCATTAATGATGTTGGACATAGGCCCTTAATCTCTTCTGGCTTGTAAGGTTTTTGCTGAGATATTTACTACTAGCCTAGTGGAGTTCTTGCTGTATGAAAACATGACCTTTCTCTCTAGCTGCCTTTAAGATTTTTTTTTTCTTTTGTATTTACTTTGGTGAATATGATGACTATGTGCCTTAGGGATAGTCACCTTGTATAGTACCTAGCTGGGTTTGCTGTATTTTTTGGATTTACATGTCACTCTCTCTGGCGAGGTTAGGAAAATTTTCATAGACTCTATTCTCAAATCTATTTTCCAAGTTGCCTTTTCTCTTTCTTTCTCTTCTAGGAATGACAATGAGTCGTAGATTTGGTCTCTTTATATAATTCCATATTTCTTAAAGCTTTGGTTCATTTTCTTTTTTTAATTCTTTTTTAAAATTTTCTTTTGACTCAGTTGATTCAACGAACCAGTCTTTGGGCTCTGAGATTCTTTCCTTAGCTTGGCCTACCTTCTGTTAATATTTCTTATTGTATTATAAAATTCTTATACTGAATTTTTTCTGCTCTAGAAATTCACTGTGGCTATTTTTTAAAATGGCAATTTCATCTTTCAGCACTTACTTAGATTGCTTTAGTGGATTACTTGGATTGGGTTTCAACTTTCTCCTTAATGTTCATGAGCTTCCCTGCCATCGAGGTTCTGTATTCTATGTCTGTTGCAATTATTTTAGACTGATTAAGAACCATTTCTTGGTAGCTAGTGGGCTAATTTTGAGGTAAGAGGACACTCTAGCTTTTTGAATTGCCAGAGTTCTTGCACTGATTTTTTCTCTTCTGGTAGGGTTAGTGTTCCATTAACTGTAGTGTATGTTGAGTATAGGCAATTGGTTTTGTTTCTGGATGCTTTCAAAGTGCCAGGGCTTTCTCTGTCCAGGATTTTTATGTATGAGTAATTCTTGTGTTTGGTTTCACAGGTTATGTATATGTAGCAGGATAAATTTTGATGTTGTAGTTTGGGATGTGATCCAATGCATGGTGCTTAAGAGTAATGGCCAGTGGCTAGCCTAATACCCAGTGGCATGGCTGTTTTATACTTCCTTTTGTTTGCAGGTGTGCTCTATAGTGGGGGTGGGAGAGATGCCTCTATCACCAGATCTGCTCCTGGGCCCTGGGGGAGTCTCCTGCAATCACTGTGTTTCTTGTGTTAGGTGTTCTAGGCCACAGGTCTCTCTCAGGCAGAGGCCATTTCCTAGGAGCCATTCTGGGGAACTAGCTGTAGTGTTTGGGTTCCCTGCACAGGCTTCCTCCCTCTTCAACTCAGCTTCATTGCTGCCTCTCCATCCACTCAGCATTTTCTCTCTCAAGATCTGCCTAAATTACGGTGGTTTACTCCATAATTTGGTATCTGTCAGTGGGGGTGGTGCTTCCTGACCATGTCAAATTGACCATCTATTGTCGCAGAATGAAAACCTCTTTGATAGACTTTGTAACATTTTTGAATATTACATTCAGGAGTAAAATCTTACGCAGTGTGATCCCAGCTATCTCTTCACTTTTGAGAATAACCTTAAGTAATTAAAGGATAATTAAATATGTAATTAAAAATTGAAAAATAGAACAGCTACACTTCCAGATCCCAACTTCTTTCAGAAAATTTTAAAATCTCTTTAAAGAAACGTAAATTGAGACCAAAATAGACTAATAGCTTTATAAAAATAAGTGCTCAAGGAGGGTGTTACATGTGAAAATTAAACTTGGAATTTGTCTTTTTACCCGTAAAATTACTGAGAGTAAGTTCCTTGAAATGGAAATAACTTTACAAATTTTTAATTAACAAAAATGCTAAAATATTACTCCGCTTACCTTTATGTAACCTCTTCCTTGAAAACAACAATTTACTCATCTGGTGTGTGACTCTAATAACCTTCAATCATTCTCTACATCTGACACCATGACTAGTAACTTAGATCTTTAACTAAGCAACCTTTCTTTCCGCCTTTGTGATATTATATCTAGTAATTTAATAACAATCTATGTTGCAAATTAAACTTCCAAATTGAATACTAATTTTCAAATCCCAAGGACCCATTTCTTCTGCCTCAATCTTAATTAGGTCTTAGTTAATAGAAAAATTAACTGGCTGGGTGCGGTGGCTCATGCCTGTAATCCCAGCACTTTGGGAGGCCAAGGTGGGCGGATCACCTGAGGTCTGAAGTTCGAGACCATCCCGGCCAACATGGTGAAACCCCATGTGTACTAAAAACACAAAAAATTGGCCGGGTGTGGTGGTGGGTGCCTGTAATCCCAGCTACTCAGGAGTCTAAGGCAGGAGAATCACTTGAACCTGGCGGGGTGGAGGATGCAGTGAACCGAGATCCCACCACTGCGCTACAGCCTGGGCAGCAAGAGTGAAACTCCTCAAAAAAAAAAAAAAAAAAAAGAAAAAGAAAAAAGAAAATTAACTAAATCAAGCCTAAATAAACATATTCACAAAGTGGCAGACTTTTTTAATCCAAAAATTTAACTGTATTAATGTCTCATTTATAAAACATTATTTTACAATGAGGTTTTACACGTCAATCAGTTGAGTCACTTCTTTTTCTTCTTTTTTTTTTTTTTTTTTGAGATGGAGTCTCGCTCTGTTGCCCAGGCTGGAGTGCAGTGGTGTGACCTCAGCTCACTGCAACCTCCACCTCCTGGGTTCAAGCGATTCTCCTGCCTCAGCATCCCGAGTACAGGCACTACAGGCACATGAACAAGAGAAGCTGACAGATTCAAATGTTCACAAACATTTCTGTTCCATTTTGATAGATACATAAACTATATTTCTCATTCTTATATACTTTATATTAGGGCATGAGATTAAAGTCAAAATAGTGGAAAATTAGTAGAAATAACATATTTTATATCCAATTTAGTCTCCAAAATCCCAACATGTACTCTTCTATATACATTTTTCAGTATGCTTGACTGGAATGGCCAATTCTACAGTAGTCTTGGAAGCAACATACTGCAGATTAAATACCTTAGTAGCCTATGTTCTTGAATGTGGACATAAAGGAGCAATGCTTTTCCTATCTTAAAAAAAACAGTTTATATGAATGAAACTTCTGTTCTGTTTAAGATATTATATGTTGTTGAGTGTAGTTGTCAAAGCAACTAGCACTATTCCAAGTAATATAGAAATCATCAGCTTGAGTTGGGTCTGCCATAACAGCACCTAAAACATATCCACTAAATTAGTATTAAATGGACAAGTAAACCAAACTCAGAGGGTTGAAATGAAGACTTGTAATACCCAGTGAAAAAAAATTATTGAAACTACCATCTAAAATTAATTGGAAGCTTAATATTAACTCAAGGAAAGAGTGTGGGAAATGAGGAAAGGCAAAAGGTAATGTGTTCATGTTTGTTCTGTTCCATAATCTAAGAAATAGATAAACACAGGCAAAAAAAAAAAAAAAAAAAAAAAAGAAAGAAATATCCTGTTTTTAGAGTGGAAAGAAAGTGGATAGAGTTGAGTTGCTAAACCTTAGCATTATTGACATTTTATGCCTGATACTCCTGCATTCGGTGGGAGGTTATTCTTTGCATTGTAGGATATTAATAGTATCTCTAGGCCATACCACTACATACCAGTAGCATCACCACCTAATCATTATAATTCAAAATGTCTCCAGACACTGACAAGTGTTCTTTGGAAACAAAATCATTCCTTGTTGGAAACCACTTGTAAACAAAAAGTCCAGTAATGGTGGAATTATACAGTGACAGAAAAGCTCAGGTTTTTCTGATTAGGTTGAAAAAGCTGCTCAGAAATTAAATCCTACTGTGTTCATAAAAAACAAGGAACCCAGCCCTGAAGCAAAGAACTAATCAGGGAAGTTGTTTTCTCTTTCAAGTCTATGATTTCAAATGACCTTAAAGTGGTCATCTTTACAGTCAGAGAAGCATATGTGTGTTGGGGAGGAGAAAAAACAAGGAAATGAGGCAGACTTTAGAATTATACCTAGGAAAGAACTGTATGTTTGGTTATAAACTAGATCCAATAAATAAATAAATGTTTTCCACATAACTACTTGGTAAAGGTATAATAAGCCTATTGTGAGAAAAAAATTAAGGCTTAAAATATCCTCAAGCATCCCAAATTGCACTAATCAGTGCAATTGATTAGTCATGCTGAGAAAACACTCATTGTTCTAATTTAAGATGGAGGCATGGAGAATAAGAGAAAATGTAAATTACCTCAGAAAGTAAATCTATGAGCCACAGGGACAATGGACCTTAAAGTTACTTCCACAGGACATGTTTATGGTTTCATCAAATAAATATTTGTACTGCTCAGAAATATTTTTGTCAGTGCTATGCAGACTTCTTTGTCTTCTGATAGGAGCTTCACCATGGTAACTTAGATTTTACAGATAATTTGTCTTTTGACTTTATAGGACACTAGTCCTCGTTAAGTCATATAGTGGCCTAAGGGAGAGAACTGCATGTCATGAAACATCCTGAACTCTAAGTTGTAGGCAGTAACTGGGCAAAACTTTAAGTTGTTTACAGAGTGAAGAGAAGTGAATTTTTCATATATAAAGAAGTGTGCAAATTGTATTTCATGAGTAGTCTTTTGTCTTCTGGAATGGTGATATATACAAAGTAATCTGGGAAGATACAATTTGATAATAGTAGATCCTTCATTAACTTGAATTATTTTTTGCAGGAAAGATGCGTCTTTAGCCAAAATTACTTATGGTAAACTGATATGTAAGCAAGAAATCACCTTCTACTTGGTTTAAGCCATTCAGTTTACTCTCTAGATAGATATGACACAAAGCTAGCATTATAATACAGTAAACCAAGTGTTAATGTAATTTTATGTTGATTTTGACTACATTCTGAAAATAATAAAAGTCATCTGATATTTTAGGCTTACGATATGAACTTGATACTATGATAGGTGTTTGAAATGTTTATCTCATTTGATTCTTAGAACAAACTTATATTGTGGGTACTAATACAATACTGATTTTTTACATAAGAAAAAGGATTGCAAAAAATGTAAAAAGTCTTATTAAAAAGTACAAAATTCTATCTCCAAATGTGTAATGAATTTTATATAGTCAGTTAATATTTGTTTAGCTCAATAAAGTAATGTTTGGTGTAATAGTTGATTTCTTTAATGTTCATTCAGAATCACCACATTATCAATTTGAAATTAATTTACCTATTCGAAGAAGTTGCTTCCTCCAATTAAGACAGTATAGTAGGCAAAATAATGGTTTACGAAACAAACAAACAAACAAACAAACAAAAAAAAACGCATGTCCTGATTTCTGGAACCTGTGAATATGTTAACTTTATCTGGTAAAAGGGGCTTTGCAAGTATTATAATGTTAAGGATGGTAAGATGAAAAAGTATCCTTTTGAGTTCAGTGTAATCAAATGGGTTTAAAATAGGGAAACATTCTTGGCTAGAAACATAAGGTGATATGATTTCAAAAGAATGGTCAGAGAGATACAGCATTTCTGGTTTGAACAAATGAAAGACCACAAGCTAACAAATCAGGACAGCCTCTAGAGGCTGGAAAAGTCAAGGAAACTGATTTTCCCCTAAAACCTTCAGAAAGGAACACAACAGTTCTCACTCTTTGATTTTAGCCTCATAAGATGCATGTCAGACATCTGACAAACACAGTTGTTTGACACTATATTTGTGCTATTTTAAACCACTAACTTTGTAGTAATTTGCTACAGCAGCAGTAAGAAAATAATGCAGAGTGTTTCTATAATGGAGATAAAAGTATAAACAAGAGGCAAGAATTTCCTTCCTTCACAGTGTTTATAATATACTAAGAAAACAAACATTAAATACACAGGGCCCCAATAGATTATTCCACTTTAATTTTAGCTGGCACTGTGGAAGGAAAATAGAAATTCTAGAATATAGTGAATAGGAATATAACTTATTCTTATGTGGGAAGAAATGCTTATTACTGAATACTATTTGGGCTGAAAATAAATGCACTGTAGTTACAGTAAGTACAGTAAAAATGGTAGTTTGCTATAAGGGAACAGAGCCATTGAAATGTAATGAAAGTCATCAAAGTTTTAGGCATTAACTATAAGTTGCAAGGAGTTAAACAATTATAAGCAGTCCGATTATTAAAAAAATATGTGCCTGATTCTCAAAGTCACAAGTGTTCTTTAAAATTGCTAACCGTAGTAGTCAATTTTCACAGTGATATAAAGAATGACTTGAGACTGAGTAATTTATGAAGAAAAGAGATTTAATTGATTCATAGTTCTTCAGGCTTTACAGGAAGCATGAATGGGAGGACTCAGGAAACTCAGAAAATCATGGTGGAAGGCAAAGGGGAAACAAGGTTCTTCTTGACATGGCACCAGGAGAGAGAGAGCACAAGGAGGGAAGTGCCACACACTTTTAAACCATCAGATCTCTTGGAACTCACTCACTGTCATGAGAATAGCATGCGGAAATCTGCTCCCGTGATCCAGTCACCTCCACCCAGGCCCCTGTCTTGACATGAGGGGATTACAATTTGAGATGAGATTTGGGTGGGGACAGAGGGCCAAGCCATATTATTCCTCCTCTGGCCCCTCCCAAGTATCATGTCCTTCTCACATTTCAAAACCAATCATGGCTTCCCAACAGACTGAAAGTCTTAACTTATTCCAGCATTAACTCAAAAGTCCATGTCCAAAGTTTCATCTGAGACAAGGCAAATCCCTTCTGCCTATAAGCCTGTAAAATCAAAAACAAGTTAGTTAATTTCAAGATACAATGGGAGTACAGGGATCAGGTAAACACTCCAATACCATAAGGGAGAAATTAGCCAAAACAAAGGGTCTGCAGGCCCCATGCAAGTCCAAAACCCGACAAGGCAGTCATTAAATCTTAAGGCTCTGAAACAATCTTCTTTCACCTCATCTCTGACATCCAGAGCATACTGATGCAATATCTGGGCTCCCATGAGCTTTGACAGCTCTGCCTCTGTGGCTCTACAAGGCACAGCCCCCACAGCTGCTTTCACAGGCTAGGATTGAGTGCCTGTGACTTTTCCAGGCACACTGTGCAAGCTGTCAGTGGATCTACCATTCTGGGGTCTGAAGCACTATGACCCTCTTCTCAAAGCTCCAGTAGGGAGTGCCCCAGTGGGGACTCGGTGTGGGGGCTCCAACCCCACATTTTCCCTCTGCACTGCCCTAGTAGAGGTTCTCCATAAGGGCTCCACTTCTGCAGCAGACTTTTGCCTAGACATCCAGGCATTTCCATACATCCTCTGAAATCTAGATGGAGGTTCCCAAACCTCAACTCTTCCCTTCTGCACAACCACAGGCCCAACCTCATGTGGAAGCCACCAAAGCTTGAGGCTTGTATTCTCTGAAGCAATGGCCTGAGTAGTGCCTTGGACCCTTTTAGCCATAGTTGGAGCTGAGCAGCTGGAACACTGGGCACCATGTCCCGAGGCTGCCCAGAGCAGCAGGGCCCTGGGCCCAGCCCACTAAACAATTTCTCCCTCCTAGGCCTCCAGGCTTATAATGGGAGGGGCTGCCTCAAAGATCTCTGAAATGTACTGGAGACATATTCCACATTGTCTTTGCTATTAACATTTGGCTCTTCTTTACTTATGCAAATTTTTGCTTGAATTTCTCCCAAGTGGGATTTTCTTTTTTACTATATGGTTAGGCTGCAAATTTTCCAAACTTTTATGCTCTGCTATCCTTTTAAATATACGTTTTAGTTTCAAGCCATCTCTTTCTTCATGGACATGAGCATAAACTTTTAGAAGCAGCCAGGCCACATGTTGGAGGGTCTGTTGCTTAGAAATTTATTTCACCAGGTACCCTAAATCATCTCTCTCAAGTTCAACATTACACAGATCTCTAGGGCCAGGTCAAAATGCTATCAGTCTCTTTGCTAAAGCATAGCAAGAGTAACTTTTTCTTCAGTTCTCAATGAGTTCCTCATCTCCATCTGAGACCCCCTCAGCCTGGACTTCATTATCCAAATCATTATCAGCATTTTGTTCACAACCATTCAACAGGTCTCTAGGAAGATTTAAACTTTCCCACATCTCCCTGTCTTCTTCTGAGTCCTCCAAACTGTTTCCTACCTCTGCCTGTTACCCAGTTCCAAAGTTACTTCCATATTTTCAGGTATTTTTATAGCAATGCCCCACTTCTCTGGTACCAATTTTCTGTATTTATCTCTTCTCAAACTGCTATAAAGAACGACTGGGTAATTTATGAGGAAAAGAGGTTTAATTGACTCACAGTTCTGCAAGCTTAACAGGAAGCATGGCTGGGAGGCCTCAGGAAACTAACAATCATGGCAGAAGGTAAAGGGGGAGCAGGCGCCTTCTTCACATGGTGTCAGTAGAGAGAAGAGCCGGGGGGAAGTTCCACACACTTTTAAACCATCAGATCTTGTGAGAACTCACTGACTGTCATGAGAACAGTATGGGAAATCCACCCCCATGATCAAATCACCTCCTACCAGACCCCTCCCCTGACACGTGGGGATTACGATTCAACATGAGATTTGTGTGGGGACACAGAGCCAAACTATATCACTAACCTAATAAGTGCTTATCTTGATTAAATTGTATGGAAAACTACAACTTAAATTATGTGATCAGAAATTCTGTCTAATGATAGACATTAATTCAAATGCCACCATGTTCTCCTGTCAGCTTCTCATATATTGTCATGGATATGATTTAATTGTCCTTCAGTGTCATGGAACACATCCTGAGATTCAGCTGATGAAGTTGCAAACTGGATAAATATAAATGATGATGTTTCAAAAAAGACAATACTCACTTAGTAAAAAAATGTTAGGTTTATTTTACACTTTCTTGACAGCTGAACTAATATAAAAAGCACTCACCTTGTTTCTTTCAGTTTTTGTGTATGTTTTGATTGTGTTAGCTGAGTTCTTCTTCAAGGGATTTTCTGTGTGTCAGAGACACTTGTCCCCCATTCTGTTTTCCTGTGTAATCTCAAAATTGACAAGGGTCTTCACTGTATGTGAAAAGGATGTCTGTGTTGCTTGATTTTATGTGTGACTACTGTTTGCGATTGTCCTTTTCCTGATATGACATGTAATTTTACAGCACAGATAATTTTTCAAAAGAATTACATTCCCAGGCTTAGCAGAGGGAGCGGCCTACTTATTGAAATGTGAAATCGAATCTCTGAAACAGAAACACCAAATTATTATACTAATCTGTAAAGTAGCTATAAAATGTTATTTTTCAGAGTGAAGTATCTATCAAGATGGCTAGTGTTGGTGTATAATAGAAACGGTATTTTATTCCTTTTATTTCTGTAAACAGATTGTGTGTGTGTGTGTGTGTGTGTGTGTGTGTGTGTGTGTGTGTACATGGGATATAATACAAATCTACCTCGACTTATAATGAGTTACATCCTGATAACCACAGGCCAAGATGTGTTATGATGGATCTGGATATACTCATAAGTTGAAAATATTTTAGGTAAAAAATGCATTTAGTACATTTAACAAAAATACTGGCAAACCGAGTCCAGCAGCACATCAAAAAGCTTATCCACCAAGATCAAGTTGGCTTCATCCATGGGATGCAAGACTGGTTCAACATACGCAAATCAATAAATGTAATCCATAACATAAAGAGAACCAAAGACAAAAACCACATGATTATCTCAATAGATGCAGAAAAGGTCTTTGACAAAATTCAATAGCCCTTCATGCTAAAAACTCTCAATAAACTAGGTATTGATGGAACATATCTCAAAATAATAAGAGCTATATATGACAAACCCGCAGCCAGTATCATACTGAATAGGCAAAAACTGAAAGCATTCCCTTTGAAAACTAGCACAAGACAGTGATGCCCTCTCTCACCACTCCTATTCAGCATAGTGTTGGAAGTTCTGGCCAGGGCAATCAGGCAAGAGAAAGAAATAAAGGGTATTCTATTAGGAAAAGAGGAAGTCAAATTGTCCCTGTTTACAGATGATATGATTGTATATTTAGAAAACCCCATCATCTCAGCCCAAAATCTCCTTAAGCTGATGAGCAACTTCAGCAAAGTCTCAGGTTACAAAATCAATGTGCAAAAATCACAAGCATTCTTATACACCAATAACAGACAAACAGAGAGCCAAATCATGAGTGAACTCCCATTCACAATTGCTACAAAGAGAATAAAATACCTAGGAATCCAACTTACAAGGGATGTGAAGGACCTCTTTAAGGAAAACTACAAACCACTGCTCAACGAAATAAAAGAGGACACAAACAAATGGAAGAAGATTCCATGCTCATGGGTAGGAAGAATCAATATCGTGAAAGTGGCCATACTGCCCAAGGTAATTTATAGATTCAATGCCATCCCCATCAAGCTACCAATGACTTTCTTCACAGAATTGGAAAAAACTACTTTAAAGTTCATATGGAATCAAAAAAAGAGCCCATATTGCCAAGACAATCCTAAGCAAAAAGAACAAAGCTGGAGGCATCATGGTACCTGACTTCAAACTATACTACAAGGCTACAGTAACAAAAACAGCATTTTACTGGTACCAAAACAGCGATATAGACCAGTGGAATGGAACAGAGGCCTCAGAAATAACACTAAACATCTACAACCATCTGATGTTTGACAAACCTGAAAAAACAAGAAATGGGAAAAGGATTCCCTATTTAATAAATGGTACTGGCTAGCCATATGTAGAAAGCTGAAACTGGATCCCTTCCTTCACCTTATAGAAAAATTAATTCAAGATGGATTAAAGACTTAAATGTTAGACCTAAAACCATAAAAACCCTAGAAGAAAACCTAGGCAATACCATTCAGGACATAGGTATGGGCAAGGACGTCATGAATAAAACATCAAAAGCAATGGCAACAAAAGCCAAAATAGACAAATGGGGTCTTATTAAACTAAAGAGCTTCTGCACAGCAAAAGAAACTACCATCAGAGTGAACAGGCAACCTACAGAATGGGAGAAAATTTTTGCAATCTACCCATTTGACAAAGGGCTAATATCCAGAATCTACAAAGAACTTAAACAAATTTACAAGAAAAAATCAAACCCATCAAAAAGTGGACAAAGGATATGAACAGACACTTTTCAAAAGAAGACATTTATGCAGCCAACAGACACATGAAAACATGCTCATCATCACTGGTCATCAGAGAAATGCAAATCAAAACCACAATGAGATAGCATCTCACACCAGTTAGAATGGCGATCATTAAAAAGGAAACAACAGGTGCTGGAGAGGATGTGGAGAAATAGGAATGCTTTTACACTGTTGGGAGTGTAAACTAGTTCAACCATTGTGGAAGTCAGTATGGCAATTCCTCAAGTATCTAGAACTAGAAATACCATTTGACCCAGTGATCCCATTACTGGGTATATACCCAAAGCATTATAAATCATGCTGTTACAAAGACACATGCACATGTATGTTTATTGCGGCACTATTCACAATAGCAAAGACTTGGAACCAACTCAAATGTCCATCAATGATAGACTGGATTAAGAAAATGTGGCATATATACACCATGGAATACTATGCTGGCATAAAAAAGGATGAGTTCACGTCCTTTGTAGTGACATGGATGAAGCTGGAAACCATCATTCTGAGCAAACCTTCGCAAGAACAGAGAACCAAACACCGTGTGTTCTCACTCATAGGTGGGAATTGAACAATGAGAACACTTGGACACAGAGTGGGTAACATCACATGCTGGGGCCTATTGTGGGGTGGGGGGATGGGGTAGGGATAGCATTAGGAGAAATACCTAATGTAGATAATGAGTTAATGGGTGCAGCAAACCAACATGGCACATGTATACATATGTAACAAACCTGCAAGTTGTGCACATGTGCCCTAGAACTTAAAGTATTAAAAAAAAATACACTTAAGAAATGTGCTCAGAACACTTACATTAGCCAGTCCGAAAAAAATATCTAACCTAAAGCCTATTTTTAAATAAAGTGTTGAATATCACATGTAAATTATTAAATACTGAATGTGAAAAACAGAATGGGTATATGGGTAATAAAAGTATTGTTTCTACTGAATGTTTATCACTTTTGTACCATGATAAAGCTGTAAAGTTGTACCGTTGTAAATCTGGGACCATCTGTGTTACATTCAAGAGAAAAGCTCAGTCGAACTAATAAATAAATCAAAATTTCTTTTGATTATTTAGGTGTTTTTTCCTGTTAGATAATGAAGACATCCAATTATTGCTTGCTGCTTCACCACACAGACACAGACACAGATACAAATACACACTCCATGAATGAGCGTATGTGCTTGTTTAAAGAGACATACTAACCAAACAGTTGTATGCTGCCATGATATTGATTATGTCATCAAGTTCCTTATTTAACAAAACACAGCTGTGTATGAAGTATTTCTCTAGAATGTACATTCAATAGCAACTGTTTTTGTTCAGTCTTGTACCCATATTATTTAAATGAGCACCTGGAGTCTAGAATTACTAAAAAATATCTATGTTGATGCATATTAAGTTGATTTTGAAGTCATAAATTTTGACAAGAATTGATACTATGGCACAATCATAACTTTACAAAAGATGACCTGAACTAACATTATTTTATGCTTTTACCAGTTGAACTCCCTGAAATATATTCAGATAATTTGTTATTAAAGCAAAACTAAGTTTATCGAAACCCTGTGCCAAGAAAGTACACCATTTTGACATATTTTTGCAGTGTTTCAGCAGGGAAGAGTGAGAGGAAGATTTTTCATGTTTGTGGAGAATGGCTTAAGAGAGTTAAATGAGTTTTTCAAAGTGAGTAGCTGATTGAAATTGAGCTAAACTTAGAGCATAATAGTTTAGATAGTCTAAGAAATTGCAAAAAAAGTTGATGCCAAGCATACAAGAAATAACAACACCAAAAAATAGACCTAAATACAGACAAAATTAGATTAAAAACAAGAATATGTTCAATGTTAATAAAAGCAAAAGGAACATAGACATAGTTATGGAGGAGTTTTGTTTTGTTTTAATAAGATAAAAATATGGTTAGTTTTATACCAGTACACTTGGAAATCTGGATCAATTCTGTCCACTACAGTCATTACTAGTGACATGTAGATATTGAACACTTGAAATATGGTGAATTTGAATTGATTTATGCTATATGTAAAATACAAACTAGATTTAGTTTAAAAATGTAAAACTGAATAATTTTAATATTGTTTTATGCTGAGATGACAATATTTTGGATATACTGGATTAAATAAATATAAAATATTTTTAAAAATCAAGTTATATAGTAAAATTGGTCTTTTTGTTTTACTTTTTTATTTTGTTTTGGTTTTTGAAGGGATAGAAATCATGGCTAAGATGGACCCTGGGGCATATCATTGACCATCATGAAACATGCACTGATTTGCCAAATGTATTATTTTCCTGTGGCTGTTATAAAAATTACAATACGCCTAGTAGTTTAAAACAACATAAATTTATTGTCTAGCAGTATTCCAGGTTAGAAGTTCAACACAGGTCTTACTGAGTTAAAATCAAAGCATTGGAAGACTGCATTCCTTCTATAGTCTCTGTGGAATAATCCATGACCTGGCCTTTCCCAGGCTTTAGAATCCAGCTGCATTCTTTGATGCATGTTCCCTGTCTTGGGCAGCTTGGAATACTGTAAGAAAATACCATAGACCAGGTGACTTAAACAACAGACATTTATTTCTCAGAGTTCTGAAAGTTGGGAAGTCCAAGATTAAGGTGCTGGTATATTTGGTTCATGGTGAGGGCCCACTCCCTCTCTGGTTAGTAGATGGCCACCTTCTCTCTGTGTTCACATGGCCTTTCCTGGATACATGTTTATGGAGAGAGAAAAAGAAGGGTGGTTGGGTGGGAGGTGGTCTAGTATCTCCACCTTTTCTTATAAGAACACTAACATTATCCTGAGAACACCACACTTATGACATTATTTCAACCTAGGTTCCTCCCAAAAGCTCCATCTCCAGATACTATCACACTGCCAATTAATAGATTATTGAAAATAATCTATTAATATTTGAACAATGCCAATCATCTTCAATAGATTAATTTTAGGGAGACACAAATATTCAGTTCATAACAGTTCCTTTCCTTCGCCTTCAAAGCTACAAATGAAGGAGCAAGTCTTCACATTCTCCTTTTATATCTCCCTCTTCTACATGTAAAGAATCTTATGATTGCATTTGGCCATCTAAAAATCTATGATAGTCTCTCCATTTCAAAATCCTTAACTTTAATTGCATTTGCAAACTCTGTCCTGCCAGGTAAGCTAACAAATTTATAAATTATCTGGATTAGGACCCCATCATCTCTGAAGAGCCATTATTCTGACTACCACATCAATATGTTAGTTTATGTCAAGATTGCTGTAATAATCAATAGGTTCTGGTACCACAAATCCAGTAGCAGTCATTAAGGTTGATTGAGTTTATTGATTGCTTTCAGCTCCATTTTGCTATTAATCACTTTTGGGGATATAAAATGAAGACCTTATCACATAGAGGAAGAGGTAGATGTGATAGGAGCTTGAATTTGTAATAAGAATTTTTTATGATATGTAAATGTGAGAAATGAATTAAGTATGTGCCATTTGTTCTCTTAAGACATTTCTTTCTAAAGGTTTAGTGACAGAAGTTGCATTCTATTAAAGATTCCTAAGTGCTGTTCTGCTGTAGGCATAAGCTTTCTTTCCTGGGTGCAGCATGTTAGGATTTAAGATTTCTATTTATCTAATACTCTGCTGTTTGTCAGATAAAATAACAATAAATAGTGAGTCCAATTATTGATAAACCCAGATGTTTCATATTTAGGAATCGATGTTAAAAAAAAAAAACTAATTGGCATCCTAAGGAAAATGTGTGCAGCTTAGCACTGATTCAACTGCATGTTTAGCCAAATTGTGAACAAATTACAGCCAGCTTCCGGACTCTTCTAGAGAGTGACTAAGGACAGCATAGAGGAATTAGGAATAGTAGCTTTATAGGTAAAGTAATTAAATGTAACCTTAAGCATAAAAAGATAAAAAAAGTTAACTAGGAAAATGAAAACTCAAGATATACAGATTAAATATGACAAACAATGGATCTTTTTATGTGGATCTTGGTTTGCAGATACCGATATCTCATATAGTGATTCACTTGATCCAAAGGCATTTGATGGAAGCTGTCTTCTCCCAAAGACTATTTGCTTTTGGAAGAATCCTAAGAGTCATTAGTTAGAAGTTTTTGGTAGGGATACTTTCCTGTAATATGAAGATGACCTAAACCTCTTTACTTGAGAGATAGGAATCAAAGGATCAGTCTTTTAAAGACTATGGGTTTGCTAGTTGTTAGCTGTGCCTGATACTGACTTTTTTCCTATGATCTTTCTCTGCCGTGTCTCTTAGAAGACAAGGTATCCAGGTATGAAAACCAATTTTGCAGACATTGTTTAGGATACTAATGGGGAAAGTCTTCAGTAACTTTTGTTGAAAGAATGGATTTCCTGAGTCCTTACAGCATTTAGTTAAATAAGTGTAGATTTCTAGAATCAGAGCTAATATTCCTAGACACTTGGTTTAGCTGTTACTAACTCATGAACCACAGATGAACCACAGAAAGAAGAAATACCTTAGACCATGCAAGTTTGACCATCTCTGTGAACTTTACCAACTTTAGTTTCAGAATTCCATCTTCCTACCTTCCCAAAAGGTTGAAACTGATATGGACAGTGAAGTCTGATTAATTGACAAAACTTTGCCACGTTAGTTAATAAAAATTCCAGTAAAATGGTTTCCTTGTTACTAGAGATATAGTTTGGGATTCCCCAGGCTGAAAAAAAAAAAAGGATTTTCTCCATGCCAACAAGAGACAAATAATGATCAGAACATATTTAAAATCTATTGCCAGCACTTGTTATGAAAAATTCATTTAGATTTTTACTGAGACATTTTACAGTTTTGCTAGGATTAATCTGACGAAGGTTGAGACAAGTTATAAGGGTATAGTTATATAAAGATATACTTACCAATTTTAACAAAATTTTCCCCCAGCTATTGGTTAAATACATTGGTCAATTTGTCCTCATTGTGCCAGAAAAGCTCAGCAGTTCTGACTAAAGTTTATGTTAATCCATTGCCAGTAGAATGAAAGAGTTGAATCCTCTCTTAAATTATAATATATAGTTGACTCCTCAACAACACAGGTTTGAACTATGCAGGTCTGCTCATATGTAGATTTTTTCCTATAAATATATTAGAAAATTTTTGGAGATTTATGAAAAATTGAAAAAGATAACAGGTGACCCATCTACACAAGAAATATTAAAAAACTAAGAAAATGTTGTCATGAATGCATAGATTATATGTAGATACTAGCGATCATTTAATACAATGAAATATATATGCATCTATTATAAAAAGTTAAAATTTATCAAGACGTAGGCACACACAGAGCATACATGCAGCCAATTGAAGTTGAGAGAAAAGTAAAACAAAAATATACATAAGTAAATCATAACTGCACAAAATTAACTGTAGTACATACTGTACTACTGGGATAATTTCCTAGCCTCCACCTGTTGTTCTTGCAGTGAACTCAGGTGTTGTGAGTATTCACTTAAAATGCCACATAATGCTAATCATCATCTTGTGAGTAGCTTGTCTCTCCAGTAAATTAACACAGTAAAAAGTGATCTCTCATGTTTCTCCTGTATTATTCATGATGTCTAGTGCAATACCATAAACCTTGAATAACACCTTCAGACCTGTAAAAAGTGCTGCTAGTGATGCTGAAAGTTCTTCCAGGAAACAGAGAAGGGTCCTGACATTACAGGAAAAAAATGAATTGCTTGATAGGTACCCTAGATTGAGGTCTGCAGCTGTGTGTGCCGCCATTTCAGAAGAAGGCTCCATCTTGTAAACACAGGATTGTAAACTTATGAGAGAAATAAATATACTGTAGTACTGTAAATGTATTTTTTCTTCCTTATAATTTTCTTAATAACTCTTTTCTGTAACTAGCTTCATTGTAAAACTACAGTGTAAAATACAGCATATGAAATATGTGTTAAGGATTTTCCAGTCAACAGTAGGCTCTTAGTTTAGTTTTGGGGAGTCCAAAGTTATATGTGAATTTTTGACTGTGCTGGGGTGGTGGGGAGGGGTTAGGGAGGTTTGATGCCCCTAAACCTTGTGTTGTTCAGGAGTCAACTGTACAATTGAGAAGAATATGATTTAGAATTTCCCTGAGATTAAGAACATATTAAATCCTGGGAAGGATATTCATAGACCTCTAGATCTAGTGACACTATCAACTTTGACTGTGTCTGTTTGATGAAGGAATTAAAATCTAGTAACAAAAGCATTTTGTAGATAGTTATTGTACCGGTCTTTGTTCTTGAACATCAGTGTGTTTTTTTGAACTGAAAATCACACATTGAATGAAAGGCTTCATCTCAATATATTTTATTTACACATAAATTTGAGCTGTTTTTTGTTCACAAGTTTGGCCGATAAAAGAGCCCTCACAATAGCTTTAATTACCATTTAAAATAACAAATTAATGGGATTTTTAAATTTTTCTCTCTTTCATAGGGTGAAGGAGCAATGCTTTTGGTTACTCAGTATTCTCTCAAGAAAATTTAAAGATAGTTTATACACAGAAGATATTTTAACAGGTTATATTCTGAACTTGGGGCCCGGATTTGGAAAAAGCAATATCAAGTATGGTTCAAGGGGACAAGAAAGAGAGAAGCATTTGTTACCATTTTTCAAAGTCAAAAATATTTAATCAGATAATATTTTAAAACCCAGCAATAATTAGTAATGATTGGTATAATGTTTTTGTCAAAATTATTATATAGGAGATAAAATTAAGAGCTTTATTTTTTTGCATTCAAATAAAATTTTAAATATTTTGATGAGCATATTAAATCAACAATGCATGTATTACATTGAACCTGACTTCTTAATAAGTTGCAACCAAATCTTTAATGATAAGTTTAGGTCAGAGAGATAATTTTGAGATTTGTCACCATAAAGATAGGGTATGATGTGATGTAAATAATTAAGATCAGGTGGAAAGACAAATAAGATTGAAGGAAGACCCAAGACCAAGGTTTGGGGCACTCTCAGAATTTCTAAAAAAAAAATTTAGACTATGAGTAAAGAAGGATTGATCAGCAAGGTGAAATGGATCAAGGAAATGTGGGCACTCAGAGGTACACAGGGGTTAATTGCTGCCCAGAATATACTCAGACGAATGCTGAACAATAAATTAGATAGAACAGATGTCCTAGAAATCATGAAGATAAGTCACTTTATTAAAATACATATTATAAACAAAGAAGGAATTTACTGTTCGAAAAGTTGTCTTGAAGAATTGTTTTGGGAGAAAATAAAAAATAAACCTTATTTTCTAAAATACACTAAAACTGATTCCAAATGAATCAAAGGATTGTGTACAGATATTTTAAATTAATAAAACAATGTTAGTGCAGATTCTCTTTAATTACTTCCTTGATTGTTTTACCTATAGTAAATCATTTAATTCTACTAGCAATTTTTTCATGTTGGATACAGCTATTCAACTTTTCTTTTGTTATTGCAACAGCCTCCTAACCATTCTTCCACAAAATTGGGGCACTAAAAGATTGTGAAATTTCCTCTATGCCACAGAGCTATTTAGTGATGATTTGGCATTTGGAAGCACATAATCTGTCTTTGAAATGTTCATTTTTCTCTGATGGCCAGTGATGGTGAGCATTTTTTCATGTATTTTTTGGCTGCATAAATATCTTCTTTTGAGAAGTGTCTGTTCATGTCCTTCGCCCACTTTTTGATGGGGTTGTTTGTTTTTTTCTTGTAAATGTGTCTGAGTTCCTTGTAGATTCTGGATATTAGCCCTTTGTCAGAAGAGTAGGTTGTGAAAATTTTCTCCCATTTTGTAGGCTGCCTGTTCACTCTGATGGTAGTTTCTTTTGCTGTGCAGAAGCTCTTTAGTTTAATTAGATCCCATTTGTCAATTTTGTCTTTTGTTGTTGTTGCTTTTGGTGTTTTAGACATGAAGTCCTTGCCCACGCCTATGTCCTGAATGGTAATGCCTAGGTTTTCTTCTAGGCTTTTATGGTTTTAGGTCTAATGTTTAAGTCTTTAATCCATCTTGAATTAATTTTTGTATAAGGTGTAAGGAAGGGATTCAGTTTCAGCTTTCTCCATATGGCTAGCCAGTTTTCCCAGCACCATTTATTAAATAGGGAATCCTTTCCCCATTGCTTATTTTTCTCAGGTTTGTCAAAGATGAGATAGTTGTAGATATGCGGCGTTATTTCTGAGGTCTCCATTCTGTTCCATTGATCTATATCTCTGTTTTGGTACCAGTACCATGCTGTTTTGGTGACTGTAGCCTTGTAGTATAGTTTGAAGTCAGGTAGCGTGATGCCTCCAGCTTTGTTCTTTTGGCTTAGGATTGACTTGGCAATGTGGGCTCTTTTTTGGTTCCATATGAACTTTAAAGTAGTTGTTTCCAATTCTGTGAAGAAAGTCATTGGTAGCTTGATGGGGATGGCATTGAATCTATAAATTACCTTGGGCAGTATGGCCATTTTCACGATATTGATTCTTCCTACCCGTGAGCATGGAATGTTCTTCTATTTCTTTGTATCCTCTTTTATTTCCTTGAGCAGTGGTTTGTAGTTTTCCTTGAAGAGGTCCTTCCCATCCCTTTTAAGTTGGATTCCTAGGTATTTTATTCTCTTTGAAGCAATTGCGAATGGGAGTTCACTCATGATTTGGCTCTCTGTTTGTCTGTTATTGGTGTATAAGAATGCTTGTGATTTTTGTACATTGATTTTGTAACCTGAGACTTTGCTGAAGTTGCTTATCAGCTTAAGGAGATTTTGGGCTGAGACGATGGGGTTTTCTAGATATACAATCATGTCATCTGTAAACAGGGACAATTTGACTTCCTCTTTTCCTACTTGAATACCCTTTATTTCCTTCTCCTGCCTAATTGCCCTGGCCAGAACTTCCAACACTATGTTGAATAGGAGTGGTGAGAGAGGACAAATCAAAACCGCAATGAGATTCCATCTCACACCAGTTAGAATGGCAATCATTAAAAAGTCAGGAAACAACAGGTGCTGGAGAGGATGTGGAGAAATAGGAACACTTTTACACTGTTGGTGGGACTGTAAACTAGTTCGACCATTGTGGAAGTCAGTGTGGCGATTCCTCAGGGATCTAGAACTAGAAATACCATTTGACCCAGCCATCCCATTACTGGGTATATACCCAAAGGACTATAAATCATGCTGCTATAAAGACACATGCACACGTATGTTTATTGCAGCACTATTCACAATAGCAAAGACTTGGAACCAACCCAAATGTCCAATAATGATAGACTGGATTAAGAAAATGTGGCACATATACACCATGGAATACTATGCAGCCATAAAAAATGATGAGTTCATGTCCTTTGTAGGGACATGGATGAAATTGGAAATCATCATTCTCAGTAAACTATCACAAGGACAAAAAACCAAACACCGCATATTCTCACTCATAGGTGGGATTTGAACAATGAGAACACATGGACACAGGAAGGGGAACACCACACTCTGGGGACTGTGGTGGGGTAGAGGGAGGGGGGAGGGATAGCATTAGGAGATATACCTAATGCTAAATGACGAGTTAATGGGTCCAGCACACCAGCATGGCACATGTATACATATGTAACTAACCGAAATGTTCATTTTTAATTATAGCACTACACCATGCACTGAATCACTGAGGGTAAAAATGCACACTGTTAATAAGAAGGAGGGAGTCAATCTCATTAGTATTATAATATTTATACAGAATGAGACTCCATTCCCCAAATTCACAGAATTAAAATAATAAAAATAAAAATTTATTGCTAGCCAATTTGCAGCAAAAAAGATTCATTCTCATATTGTGCTATGAGAAAATAAATGAAATTAAATTTTAAAAGACATTTTTGGAAAGCCCTTTGAATTAACCAGAATATGGTTAAATTCGTAGTTTTTTTGACTAACATTCTTCTTCCAGGTTAACAAAATTTATATATAAATGAAACTCATTGCATATACTTTTAAGGGGTAAAATAATTACTAAATTAATGTACACTATGAATACTTCATTTTATAAAATTGCATATATACCCATATGCAAATGTGCACAGAATCAATAGGGTAACCATAGACATAAAATGATCAGTGCAGGATATTTTATTTTATTTATGCATTTTATATATAATATACTTTTCATTTAATATTTTTGCTAATTTTATTGAATTGAATATTTATGCCTTGGTTATAGAACAACTAAATTTATTTTCAAAGAAACTCCATTATTATTGTCTGCAAGAGTAAAACTTATAAACAGTCTAAAAATTCAACCAAATACAACCATTTACAATTGTGCCCTAGTTGAATATGTAATCATAGGAGAAAACACAGGTGTTGAATTTTTAGAATTTCATTTAAAAAATAATTGACACAATCCCTAAGGTATCATATAAATTAATTGAATTGTTACTGTCTTGGGTTAACATTTATTTCTAGAGTTTTTTTTCCCCTAGTATCTGATTTTTTCCATTAACATTACTTATTTGGATAATCAGAAAAAAATCAACATTGCCAAAAGATAGATAATACCACAAGCGAAATATCTATAATAATGATAAGAAAATGCTTTGATTCAGGCTGAATGAGAATTAGTCTAGGAAAACAGCTTGGACCCTCTCATTCCTGTTAATGTCATCTCTGTGTTTAGCACTGCTGCTATTCCTCAGCCCCTAAGAAATGCTCTATTGCTGGCCATGGCATATTGGAAGCCAAGAAAAATGACTGGCTGCTTGGTGACAGCTCTCTAGTCCTCATGCCAAGTTCTGCCAGTGATTTAAATATTAAGTAATGGAAAGAATTTTGAAATCCAGGATGATTAGAAAAGTCATTTTCTACAAAACTGAAGCATTGTCTTTAGAGACTAAAATCTATGAAAATAACATTATTGAAATACTAGACTTGAGACTATTTTTCTGAATTATTGTAACTGTTGAAATAGGTCTTTCAGCCCATTAAGATAAACACCACACTTTTCTCTTCATGATCTTCAGCTGTAATTTTATAGTGAAAGGTACTTGCATAAAAGAGTTCACACTATCTGAAAGATGTCACATGTAACATTGACTGGCAGCCATTTCAGAATGGCAGACAGCCAATAAATCATTCAGAACTATGTGTCACTCGTTGTGGCTTTAAAATTGTATTCCTTCTCCTTTGATAAAGAACATTTCAATGTCAAATAGTTTGTTCTATTTAAACTTATACATCAACCAGAATATTGAGATACACAATAAAATTAAATTATTTGGTAATACCTTTAGAATTTATCTAAAAACAGCCGTATGTATTTGCATGACAGTTTTGGTTCACAAACCAATCAAGTTGTTAGTATCAAAGGCATGTTTTAGTGCTGATTTATGTATAGATAAATTTAGGAAATTACATAAATAGAAATACTTCTTTATAAAATTCCTTGACCTTGTGATATCTTGGTATTAAGAATCTTAAAGGAATCATTTAAAAAAATTCAAAAGCAAACAATTTCTATTTTACAAGAGCTAGGAAAGAAACATTTTGCGATGGACACAGATCGCTCTTCAAGAAAAGATTTCTTTCCCCCTTGGCTGCTAGGAGCGATATTACAAAGCAGCCTTCAGCTCTCAGCTCCTTCAAAGTTTGCCTCAGCTGTAACCATTGTCTGGCTCAATGTTAGGTCATCCTGGAGCACCAGACATGCAAACATGAATGGAGATGAGGTATAAAGCCCGGCCATTTTGACCCATCTGGGAGGATTCTGACAGGTCCTTCCAGTGCCTGAGAAACCCAGGGCTCACATGCTTTATATTCTGATCATTCTGCAGGGGTTGTTCCCGTGGGTGATACTTAATGAAGCTGCCAAATATAAAGAGGCAGCCATGTAAATTTTTAGGAATTATTTCCAAAACTCTCATAACAACATCATATATATTTATTGGTTGTTTAAGTAGATTTCTGAGGAGTAGATAGCAACGATAGAAGTGAAAGAAAGTAAATGCAGTTGTTAAAGGATTAGTCTTCCCATACTTAGAAAGTACACAAGTTGCATATACACTATGTTCCTTCCTTAGGGCAAATATTTCAATGCAGTCGTGTGTGTGTGTGTATGCTTGTGTGTGTGTGGTGTGTGTGTGTGTGTGTGTATGCTAACTGAACTCATTGTAGATTTTATTGGATCAGATGTATGAAGAGACTTGGAAGACTTGGGTTTGTCTGGAACTGGGTGAAATAGAGAAGGATGATCATTGACATAGAAAGCTCATTACTTTGACCTTTGATTATAAATAGTCTTACAATAAAATAGCATCTCCACTGTCTAAAACACATTTTTACATTTGCTCTCCTTCTGAAATTATTTATGTGAAATTAACAAATCTACTTATTACCTTAGAAACAAACGATCCCTAATTTATATTATTTATTGTATATTTGTAGATCCACTTAAAATTGATTTGCAATATAAGGAAAAAATGCATTTTATAAGTTGTTTGCTTTGTGTAGTGGATCTTGTTAAAGTAGGACTATTGTTGCATTGAAACAAAATAGAATTAATCTGTTCAGGTAAATAGAACTGGAAGTGAGATTTGTTGTCACTCCTTCTCCTTCAAGTACTGACTAGTCTTTTAATTCACACATAACTAACACTCTGTGCAATAATATTTTTTTGTTCTCTGTCTTTTCAAATAGAACTCAAGCTCCATGAGGAGATGTTTCATTGTCAGTGAGCACATTCTTGTCAATTAGTTCCTTCTTGTTTATTAGTATAGCCCCTGTGTCTAGAACCTTTCCAGGTATTCAGTAGCCATTTAAAAATTATTTGTTGAATGAATTGTTATTTTAAAGAGCATCCACAAGTTTTGCCTGACTGGGCATGGGAATACATGCCCATCTTTGGACTGAATGTCCATTTTTCCCTTCTTTTATCAAAATATTGGTTAAATGATCAGGACCACTGTTAGAAGGAATTTTATATCTAAAAATAGTTTACCTTCTATGGATGTAAAAAATAGTTGTAGTAGTGCTGGCCTTTATATTATTCGATGTTTCAAAGCGGGTTTTTTTTCCATCACAATATTCTACGTTCTTGAAAAGTACTCGTTCATGTGACTGCTATCATTTATGCTTGTGCAGCACGTACATACAGGAGAGAAGATAAGGAAAATGCTTACCCTGTGTCTCCTTCCCTGTAACACAGTTTTTTTTACCATATTGATTCTCCACTTTCTACTCCCTAAGTAAAATTTTGCAACAGGCATTTGGGAAACTCTGGATATAAGAAAAAAATTTTAATATTGTACAAAGAGACAGGAGGTGACTTCTTTTTTATTTTTCATTTAGAGTTTATAGTTTAATTAAAGAAAATGCACATATATCTAAAGATAATCATGGATAATACACTCATATAATTACTACTTTCAGTGGTTATAACAACAGCCAAAGCACAAACAGAAATGAGAAAGGATTATCAGCATTATGCAAATACATATCCTCTTTAAGAATTCCTGTTATAGTGAAAGCATTAAAATAATTGAACACGTACAGAGACCATATATTTTGTGATCTTTTTAAAAAAGTATTCAAAATATATTTCTGTGTGCAAAACGTTTTCATAATGATCTTGTTTAAATGAAAGTATTTAGAATAGCACATTGTAAAATTATGCTGCAGAGCACAAGTATTTTTCTCTTTAGAAGACACATAATAAAATAGAATCATCAGTGTTTTTTCATAAACATGAATCTTTAGAGTGTTACTTGATCCTGCATAATAAGGGTACTTTTTTGCTTAATGTAAGCATAGTATACTAATTCTTTTAAAATTCAGAAAGCATATTTACAGTCTAGGCATATGGGACATGAAGGTCACACAGCATGAGCAGTGTTTTGACAGGGAGGTGGAAAGCAGGAGTATAACTACATTCAAGTGTCTGCTCTGTTGCTGTATGAGAAAATCTGTGCTGTAGCACATCAAAGTTTTTCCAAATTGTGTTTCTTAGGACATCTTTGGGGTTTATATAAGTATTTAATAGAGCTCCCCTAGCCCAGGCTTACACAGGACATATGTCTAGTGTCATATGTATGTATGCTTAAATTTTAGCAGAAAGTTTGCTAAAATTTAAGTGAAGTAATGTTGAAGGTTGAATCATTTGAAACAAACTACCTGCACCAAAATATTCTTTACGGTACTGATTTCTATCCCACCCCTAATGAGGCTGAATTTTAATCTTAACTCTGCTTGTAATTAGGTATTTATATGTGTCTATTACTCATTTTTTAACAAGATGTCTCTTCAGAGATAAAATGAGGGTAGCAAAAAATAATTTTAATAGACATTTATATGGCTTTGATAACAATTGTCTGTTCTACTTATTTGACTGATTCTAAACTCTAAAGGTTATTTTACAGTTAGTAAATTACATAATTTTTATGCAACAATTTGCCTGCCAGGATTCCTGTAATACTTGTCTGCTATCAGTAGGTATAAGCCTGTTAGCCTCTAATGTGAAGATAATATCTCTTTAAGTTATAATGCATTTACAATTGTTACAGTTTCTAAGGTCTTTTTAAGTTAGAGATGCATCTGAGGATGATGGTTTTCAAGGAGATAGTTCTTTGACAAAAAGTGACAATATGGGACTTAGTGTTATATTAATTTACACATTATGTTTTTGCTATAAAGAGATAAAAGATGTGCTATACTACCTATAAATTACTGTATGCCACATTTTGTAGAATTGTTTTCCATATTATTGTAGAATGTGGCACTTAAATAGCATCATGAAAAAAGTTTATTCAAGAAATAATAAGACATTAATGAAATATAATTAATATATAAAGACTATATTTAAAAATAATTATGTATTTCTAATCCTAAACTTTTTAAGGTGACATTATTTTTTTCTGTGATATAATTTCAGTTTAGAAGAACTTTAAGTTTTAATAAGATTTTAAGATGATTCAGTAATGTTAACATACTTTTTTTCTGTAAATTTTGTTAACAATTTAGCTGCATTAATTAAATATTTATATAGCTAATTTTAATACTGATATTTTAATACAATTCTTAATTTTACTCCTGGCTTTCAATCATTCATATATGTTTTTAAAAATTGCTTTTTCCGTTGCTTTACTTCTTAATTACTTTTATAAAAGTCTTAATTGTATGTGGTTGATTTTAAAAGTTAAATATTTCTATAAGATTTATAAAGACAAACTGGGTGCAGTGACTCACACCTGTAATCCCAGCACTTTGGGAGGCTGAGGGGGGCAGATCACTTGAGGTCAGGAGTTCGAGACCAGCCTGGCCAACATGGTGAAAGCAGTTTCTACTAAAAATACAAAGATAGGCCTGGTGTGGTGGTTGGCCCCTGTAATTCCAGCTACTTGGGAGGCTGAGGTGGGAGAATTGCTTGAACCTTGGAAGCGGAGGTTGCAGTGAGCTGAAACCATGCCATTGCACTCCAGCCTGGGCAACAAGAGCAAAACTCCATCACAAAAAAAAAAAAAAAAAAAAAAAAAAAAAAGTATATATATATAGACAATACAAATGTCCTGGCTATATCTATATTAATAGGTTTTGCACATTTAAACCAAAGTCACACATATGGTTTGATTCTAATTAATTCTAATGCATCTTGCAGGTTACAAACTGTATTCTATTATGTAGTTATCTGCTGATCCACTCTGTATCCTGTTGTGCAAGTTGCGATGATTAACCTCTGCCTTTATGATGTAATCCAAATGTAGCATATAGACCTCAATGATAAGATTGATCATGGTTCATTTAATCATTAATTTATTATTAATCTCTTTTATCCTGGTACTTAGAGTGCAGATTTTTCTCAACAAATATTTACGCAATCATTAAATAAAATATAGCCTTGTGTCACTTAGCAATGAGGATATGTTCTGAGAAGTGTGTGGTTAGGTGACTTTGTTACTGTGCAAACTTCATAGAGTGATCAATCTATAAGGGTGGTAGAAATTTTTCAACCTCATTATAATCTTAATGAGCCATTGTTTTACATGCTGTCTCTTATTGATGTAAACGTTGTTATGTGGCACATGATTATATAAAAGATATTAATCCATTCATTATTTATGCATTCATCCATTTGACCTATGGTAGTGTTCTATTGAAAATGAGTCATCGTGATATAGAAATCCATTCTTAGTTGTTTTTACTTTCTCTTTTTCATGGGGAAGAGTGGGTATTGATTTTAAAAGTCTAAAGAATGGGTTATTGTGAATAGTGCCACAATAAACATACATGTGCACGTGTCTTTATAGCAGCATGATTTATAGTCCTTTGGGTGTATACCCAGTAATGGGATGGCTGGGTCAAATGGTATTTCTAGTTCTAGATCCCTGAGGAATCGCCACACTGACTTCCACAATGGTTAAACTAGTTTACAGTCACACCAACAGTGTAAAAGTGTTCCTATTTCTCCACATCCTCTCCAGCACCTGTTGTTTCCTGACATTTTAATGATTGCCATTCTAACTGGTGCGAGATGGTATCTCATTGTGGTTTTGATTTGCATTTCTCTGATGGCCAGTGATGGTGAGCATTTTTTCATGTGTTTTTTGGCTGCATAAATGTCTTCTTTTGAGAAGTGTCTGTTCATGTCCTTCCCTCACTTTTTGATGGGGTTGTTTGTTTTTTTCTTGTAAATGTGTTTGAGTTCATTGTAGATTCTGGATATTAGCCCTTTGTCAGATGAGTAGGTTGCGAAAATTTTCTCCCATTTTGTGGGTTGCCTGTTCACTCTGAGGGTAGTTTCTTTTGCTGTGCAGAAGTTCTTTAGTTTAATTAGACCCCATTTGTCAATTTTGTCTTTTGTTGCCATTGCTTTTGGTGTTTTAGACATGAAGTCCTTGCCCATGCCTATGTCCTGAATGGTAATGCCTAGGTTTTCTTCTAGGGTTTTTATGGTTTTAGGTCTAACGTTTAAGTCTTTAATCGATCTTGAATTGATTTTTGTATAAGGTGTAAGGAAGGGATCCAGTTTCAGCTTTCTCCATATGGCTAGCCAGTTTTCCCAGCACCATTTATTAAATAGGGAATCCTTTCGCCATTGCTTGTTTTTCTCAGGTTTGTCAAAGATCAGATAGTTGTAGATATGCGGCATTATTTCTGAAGGCTCTGTTCTGTTCCATTGATCTATATGTCTGTTTTGGTACCAGTACCATGCTGTTTTGGTGACTGTAGCCTTGTAATATAGTTTGAAGTGAGGTAGCGTGATGCCTCCAGCTTTGTTCTTTTGGCTTAGGATTGACTTGGCGATGTGGGCTCTTTTTTGGTTCCATATGAACTTTAAAGTAGTTGTTTCCAATTCTGTGAAGAAAGTCATTGGTAGCTTGATGGGGATGGCATTGAATCTATAAATTACCTTGGGCAGCAAAGACTTGGAACCAATCCAAATGTCCAAGAATGATAGACTGGATTAAGAAAATGTGGCACATATACACCATGCAATACTATGCAGCCATAAAAAATGATGAGTTCATGTCCTTTGTAGGGATATGGATGAAATTGGAAATCATCATTCTCAGTAAACTATCGCAAGGACAAAAAACCAAACACCGCATGTTCTCACTCATAGGTGGGAACTGAACAATGAGAACACATGGACACAGGAAAGGGAACATCACACTCTGGGGACTGTTGTGGGTGGGGGGAGGGGGGAGGGATAGCATTGGGAGATATACCTAATGCTAAATGACAAGTTAATGGGTCCAGCACACCAGCATGGCACATGTATACATGTGTAACTAACCTGCACATTGTGCACATGTACCCTAAAACTTAAAGTATGAAAAAAAAAAAAGAATGGGGTATACACACAATCAATTATCAAGCAGTGGCGCCTTGTACAAAATAATAAACTCATCTAAGATCCTAGCAGTTCATTCAGAAAATAAACCTGGAAATATATCTTGTATATGTAAAATGTGATTGTAAAAATTAATGAAACTAAGCAATGGGAATATGAGTAGTAAATTATTTGAGAAAATATTATAATATTTACTTTTTTAAATTTCAAAACTTTATATTTCCTTCTTTAAAACTGAAAATTTTTGTGTACATATATGAAACTAATTGTGTCATTTTTCATTTTGTTACAATATAGAGTGATGTTTCAAAACACAAACATAATAGGTAGAGTCAATTACTTAGGGGAGGTTAAACCTGGAGGTAACATTAGAAATAGAAATAATAAAATGTAGTGTTTTTGGATTTGTCTGTTAAGATTATTTTAATCCAAATCATATTTAATGGTTTACATAGTTGTATATCAAATTTGGTTTCACAAATATGTAGTAAATTTAAAAATGTAAAACATGTATATTGTTATACATTCTATAACCTATGAATCCATATAACTTGGGCAAGAAAATTATATAATTAAAAATAAAACCTTTCTGTTCTGAATTATGTTTTAGGGACAGCTATATAGTTCACACTCACAAAGGAATCATAAAAACTCTGTGTATAATCTTGGAAGTAAAAATATCTGTTGTATCATATTTATGAAGTATACAATTGATTAAAAATGATAATATCTGTCTTCTATCCAATGGCAATAACAGAAGATAATGGCATATAAGTAGGCCTGTCTCCTTTTTTTTGGCATTGATTTATATATCTTTACTAGCTTTGTTGTTTTAACTCCAATAAAAGATTATTTAGTAAGCCAAAGCAAAAAAAAAAGAAAATCCTGTGAGCAGCCACAAACTGAAAGACTACGATTTTTAGTCAATGTCCTAAGTAACACAGTAATTTTAGGTTAACCAATGTGTCAAAGAGAATGAGGAAAAATTATTACAAAAATGAATAAATAAATAAACTGGTCTAGGTCAAACCGTACTCCGAGAGTAGTCAACTGATATTAAAGCCTATGACATAGAATGTGCCATATTGAGTATGCAATATCAAAATATTTCTTCTTTTTCTTTCTCCAGCTACTGCAGACCCTAATTATTTCCTTATCTGATCACTTTAAAGTCATTCAACAAATCATAATTATGCCATTGTTAACATCAGAAACTGAAAACCTACTGTCAAAAGTGAGCTAAAATATCACTATTTGGATTTATTTATAAATTTAATTTATTTTACAAAAAGATCGACTTTCAATTTGAGAATAACATAAAAAATCAATTCATTCCTCTGTGCATCAATATTGTATCATTGGTAGTTTAAACTTTTCATCTAATATTAGATTGCATGCAGGATTTTATATCTAATTACTCTGGCAGATGTCCTTTAGAAAATTCAAAAATAAAATGCAGCAATTCATATTGGCAGATTTACTATTGAGACCAATGCTTTCTTAACTAAAAGGTTTTGTTTAAAATCCTTAGTTTAGCAAAACTGATAAAGATTTTTGAATATCAGAGCATTTAAAAGAGATTCTTACTTTAAATCTGGCATATTTCTTGTATTACATGTTATAATTTCATTGAACATGGCTATCTGTAAAACTATATATATGATCCAGAAGATACTCAAACTAAATTAAGTTTTAACAGCCATCAATTTATTTTAAAATGACACAGGCATGAAAAATGATCTATCAAGGTTTGTAAATCTTATTCTGTTAGCTATTGCTAGAGATAGTCTAAAGATATTCTACTTGGAATTTGAGATTAAGACAAAGATTTTCTATCAGTAATAATATTCAGATTATTTTTATTTTAATGTATAAATTTAAAATTCTTAGAATATTTTCAACAATATTTTCCATTTCTAAATTTATTTTATTTCTAAACAAATGTAATTACTTTATTAACTTTTATTTTCAGTTCAGGGGTATATGTGCAGGTTTGTTATATAGGTAAACCTATAGGCAAATAGGCATACAGATTATTTTGTCACCCAGGCATTAAGCGTATGCGCGTTAGTGAAAAATGTTATTGCTTTAAATATCCAAATTATTCAGCTGCATTTGATCTCATTCTTTAGTCCAATGTAAGTAAGAGTAAAACAATGACATTTAAGGCCACCAGGCTATTCTCATTTTCGGAAAAATGCTGGATTACATTACCAGCATATTAAATGAGAATACCAAGGTATAGTATCTCCCTAGAAATTGTCTCACCTTCAATACTATTGACACTTTTGGACCTGATAATTTTGTTGTGGGCTCTAGCCTCGTATTATAGGAGGTTTACCAGTTTTCCTGCCCTAAACTTACCGGGTGTGAATAGCACACTCCACTACCTACAGCAGTAAAAACTAAAATTGTCTCTAAACATTGACAAATGGTCCCTGGTAGTGAAAATCACCCCTGGTTGAGACCGTGTTGTTGAAAATAAAACAAAAACTTTCACATCAATAAATATGTTAGGCCGTGTATATTAAGGATTAACATTAAGACAATATGGAGCAAGCACTACATGAAAGCAGTGACGATTGGAATTAGTGGCACATTATCCTAATAGTTAATATAGTGACTTTAATATCTAAATATCATCATATAGAGTTTTTCTTGGATTTTTTCATTAGCATAACTTAGGATATTGTGTATGTTACACTGTATATACTGTTATTTTGAGAGACAATTTTGGGAGATTTTGCCAAGGTATTTTCAATTATAGGTCTTTAATACATTCTAAGCAAGTGGGTCTCAAAAATGGGAGTTTTACACCCCACATTCTTCTTCCCATCTGGTGGACATTTGTCAATGTGTACAGATATTTCTGATTTAAAAAAAAAAACTGAAAGAGAGGATGTGCTACTGGCATCTGGTGGTCGAGGCTAGGGATGTTGCTAATCATCTTACAATGTACACGATAGTTCCCCACAATGACTTTGAGAAACCCTGCTCTAACACTACTGCAGGATGAATTTTAAGCACAATTATAAGAGAGGAGCTAGATATTGAGTTTTAAAAGGAGAAAATATAAGTACAAAAGAAGAATGAAGATTGTTATAACAGGGGCAAGTAGAAGTTAGAAGAAAATGTGATAAAGTAAATCTACATTTTAGAATAGTACTGGAAGTTATTATCAGGTGTTACAGACAAGTTTGAGACTTCTGTAAGTGACCTAAAGAAATTATGGACACTGCAAGACTAAATAATCATTCATTTAGGAAGGAGCTTAAAAGCACTTTCTCAAGGTCGGACGAGGTGGCTCACGCCTGTAATCCCAGACCTTTGGGAGGCCAAGGTGGGCGGATCACGAGGTCAGGTGATCGAGACCATCGTGGGTAACACGGTGAAACCCCGTCTCTACTAAAAAATACAAAAAAAAATTAGCCGAGCACGGTGGCGGGTGCCTGTAGTCCCATCTACTCGGAAGGCTGAGGCAGGAGAATGGCGTGAACCCGGGAGGCGGAGTTTGCAGTGAGCCGAGATGGCACCACTGCACTCCAGCCTGGGCGACAGAGCGAGACTCTGTCTCAAAAAAAAAAAAAAAAAACTTTCTCAAGCATGCTAAGTCACAAAATTTGAGTTATCCTGAGCTTTTTTTACTTTAAGCTATCAAGCCATTGTTTGGAATCTTCAGAACCTCTTTGGAGTTTGGGATTTAAGAGTCAGTAGGTAGATAGTGAGCTTAAGATGCCAAACACAACATATAAAGCTATAAAAATCCATATGATCTTGAAAGATTAAATGGAAGCCCAGCACAAAACAATTGCTGAGTATATTATTTACATTATCTGAAAGTATGCCAAACATACACGTTATATGTTAATAAAGATATGAGAAAGAAAATTCCAAAGAGTTTCTAAAAAGTGAACAACCACAAAATTTCAATAGCTTGCAACAAACATTTTCTTCTCACTCATGTTACCTGATGGAAAATCAAATGGCTGCCTGGAGACAGCATGGAGGGAGAGACTGATTACTGAGGTGCACAAGAAAACTTTTCATAATGATGGTTGTGAATGTAGTGATATTTCCAAAAGTATATACATATATATATATATCTCAAATTTGACCACATCACACGTTTCAAGTATACTGAATTGACTGTGCATCTCTTATTATACCCCAGGAAAGTTGAAGATATGAAAATGAAAAAAAATTCTTCCACCGACTACCCATCAATTTTCTTCTCATTAGCCTCACAGATTTCACAGTTAATTAAAGGGAAGATGCAAATATGTTCAAACTGTACATATTCTGAGGCCCATACCTTGCCATTAGCTCAATAAAGAGAGACATTGTCCCTGGCATGAAAATGAAAAACTTGCACACTCCCTATGTGGCTTCTGGACACTCTTAAGACATAAACACACTTTGGGGGCTCACCCTGTCAGGCTTTGCTCTCAGAGCTTAGATGAGAAAAACACAAAAATAAAACCAAAAGATGACATTTAGATGCCCATCAAGAAAGATGTGTTGCGAACTGGACAGGTCAGGACTTTAAGTACTGTATCTTACTGTATGTTTAAGTACTGTATGTTACTGTAGAAACTTACTCATTTTCCCCTCAGAACAACTCTGTCTCAGGAGGTGAGTCTGAGAGCTACTGTTTCTTTGTAATGGTTTTATCTGATCAGGTCCACGGTCACCACGTCAGCCCCACTGCCCTTAAATAGTTTGAATCTTGATGTTTTGATTTCAAAGACTTCTGATTCTAGCTACATAGCTTTGTCCATTTCCCACCTTACCACTATTTACTTTGAATTTTGTTGCATGCCGAGACCAGTGACTACCACAAATGTGACTGTTCCTAGAATCTGCTTTCTGCTGTGATTTTTAGTCAGTGTGCAGACTCTAACATAAACTCCTTTCTATCGTATTTTCTTGAGTCCAAGAGCCCATAGATTGTATAATGCACTATTTTATGTCCCGTTAAGCAAGTAATTTGCATTATGGCTAATTAAACTAAGACATACCACTGAATTGTAAAATGCATTATATTTTCAGGAGATATTAAAATATGAAATGTATGGGTCTTGGAATAGATGAATTGTGACAGTATCTTTGGAAAGTTAATTCAGTTGTAGTATTGCTTAAGATGTCTTTAAGAGCTGAGCCACTTCCTTTAGTTGGAATACATATGTAAATTATTTGCAGAGGAGATTTGCCTCTTTTATCTCATTCACTTGTTTATTCAATCATTTATTGATATCAATATGGACTAAGGAAAATTACATTTTTGGGTATAATCCAAATATACCAATTAATTTATTGTGTTGCTAAAATTATTCTAGAAATTGAAAGACCTTTCACTTGGCCCCTGTGCTTGTTTGACATATCTCACAAATAGATTTTTGTTAGTATTTTCATAATTTCTGGCACTAGAGGATGTCCCAGGCTCATCTTGTGTATTTTCTTCCCCATTCTTAGAATCAGCCACTTTAAAAGATGCCCTGCTTTCTATATAACAAATCAATATTTAAGTGCTAGCTGTGCCTGTAGCTAAGGGAGTATCAATTTTTTCATAGCTCTCTAAGATGAGAGAGCAAAGAAACAATGTGTATATTCTTACACATATGTAGACACATATCTTTAAATATTTCTATATGTAAACATCTATATTAGTCCATTATCCCATTGTTATAAAGAACTACCTGATCCTAGGTAATTTATAAAGAAAAGAGCTTTAATTGCCTCACAGTTCCACAGGCTGTACAGGAAGCAAGAATGGGGAAGCCTCAGAAAACGTACAATCATAGCAGAAGGCAAAGAGGAAGCAGGCACATCTTACATGGCTGGAGAACGACGGAGAGAACTAAGGGGGAGATGCTACACACTTTTAAACAACCAGATTGTGTGAGAACTCACTCATTATCACAAGAATAGCAAGGAGGAAATCTGCCCCCATAATCCAATCCCCTCCCACTAGACTCCTCCTTCAACACTGGGGATTACAATTGGACAAGAGGTTTGAGAGGGGACAAAAATGTAAACCATATCACCATCTATGTCTATATTAAGCTAAACATGGGTTCTTACTGATGTCACTACCTCTAACCTAGTCCCACAAGCATCAATGCCTTCCTGTATCTCTAAACCCCCACTCCAACAATAAAAATCCTGACTCTCACTATCTGACATCTATTTAGTTAATTGTTCACTTCCAGTATATGTGTATAGCTGTACCAGAATTGATAACCTGCCCTTGGTAGAAGAACGTCTTTATCAACTAAATTAAATGCCTTTGTACAAGTTTCGTTTGCCTTTCATCGTAAGAGTCTGCACTCATTTTCAATATCACTTTGACCAGCACCCTTTCCCTTAAGTCCCTCACTGAAGTTATTTTGTATGGTTCATAATAGAGCTAGATAAATTTGTAACAGTCTGCATTCCATCCTGAGATTCTACAACCTTTTAATTAATTTTTTATTAAAAATATAACTTTTATTTTTGGTAAATATTAGCACTTCTGTGCCACACTACTATATATAAATATCAAAAAAAGGTCCAGAAAGCTATAGAAAATTTAAGTGCTGAATGTTGAACCTAACAATAACTTGGCTAAAGTAAGTACAGAAGGCAATTTTTTATTTGTGTAAATTTATGGGATGCAAATATAATTTTGTTACCTCCATAAAGTACATAGTGTTGAGGAAAGGGTTTTAGAATATATGTCACCTGAAAAATGTACATTGTACTCATTACATAATTTCTCATCATCCCCTCCTCCCACCCTCCTGAAATTTCCAAGTCTCTGTTGTCTATCATTCCACATTCTATGTCCATGTGTATACATTATTTAGCTTCCAGTTATAAGTGAGAACATGCAGTATTTGTCTTTCTGTGTCTGATTTGTTTCACTTAAAATAATGACCAGTTACATCCATGTTGTTGCAAAAGACATGATTTTATTCTTTTGTATAGCTGAATAGTATTCTATAGGGCATATATGCCAGGTTTATTAATCTAATCATCCAGTGAGGGACACATTGCTATTGTGAATAGTGCTGTGATAAACATATGGGTGCAGATACCTTTTTCATATAATTATCTGTTCTCCTTTGGGTAGATCTCCAGTAGTGGGATTGTTGGGTGAAACTGCGGTTTTATTAAGAATGTATATTCTGTAGTTGCTGGGTAGAATTTTCTGTAAATGTCAGTTAGGTCTATTTCATCTAAGGTTGAATTTAAGTCTTATGTTTATTTGTTTTCTGTCTTGATGATAACATTTAATGCTGTGAGTGAGATGGTAAAGTCCCCCACTATTATCGTATTGCTATCTATTCCTTTTTTATGTCTAGTAATATTTATTTTATGAATCTTGGTGGTCTAGTGTTGGATGCATATGTGTTTAGAATTGTTATATCCTCTTGCTGAATTGATCCTTTTATCATTATGTAATGACCTCCTTTGTCATTGTTATACTGTTTTAGATATAAGTGTATGTTATACTTATATTTTATGCTATGTAAGTATAAGTATATGTTAAGTTCTGTTTTACTTGATATAAGTATAGCTATTCCTGCTTGCTTTTAGTCTCCATTACATGGAGTATCTTTTTTCACCCATTTACTTTAAATCTGTATGTGTCTTTACTTTCAGTCTGTATGTGTCTATATGTTTCTTGTAAGCATAATATTTTTGGATCATTTTTTAGTTCGTTCCATCAATCTACCTTTCTTTTTTTTTTATTTTTAGATGGAGTTTCACTCTGTCATCCAGATTGGAGTGCAGTGGCGCAATCTTAGCTCACTGCAAACTCCGTCTTGCAGGTTCAAGCGATTCTCCTGCTTCAGCCTCCCAAGCAGCTGGGATTACAGGTGCCAGCCACCACGCCTGGCTAATTTTTGTATTTTTAATGGAGATAGGGTTTCACTATGTTGGCCAGGCTGGCCTCGAACTCCTGACCTCGTGATCCACCCACCTTGGCCTCCCAAAGTGCTGGGATTACAGGTGTGAGCAACTGCACCTGGCCCAACATCAATCTATATATTTTAAGTGGAATGTTTAATTCATTTACATTCAAGGTTAATATTAATACATGAGGTTTTCTTTCTGCCATATTGCTATTTGTTTTCTACTTGTTTTATAAGTTCTTTGGGGTTATTTTGTTGTTGTTTTTTGTTTTTCTTTCTATCTCTTTGTCTTTGTGGTTTGGTGGAAATCTGTTGTGTTGCTATTTGATTTCTCTTCCTACTTTGTGTGACTGTTTTACAAGACCTATGAGTTTGCTACTTTCATGTGTTTTGATGATGATAAATGTTGACCTTTCATTTTTGTGTTTGGGACACCTTTGAGTATTTCTCATAGGACTCGTTTAGTGGTGACGAATTCCCTCAGTGTGTGCTTGTCTGGAAAATACTTTGAATCATTTCAAGAAAATTAGCAATGAGTTATGTCAGTCAAGCCATTGGTTTGTATTTGGTGGCACATTTACTCTGTATTATTTCACACTAGAACCATCTGAGTTAAGTTTTATTATTTGCTATATGTTGCAGATGAAGAAACTGAAGCTGAGAGAGGTTTAGTGAATGACTAAAGAGGTTGTCAGGCTGCAGGGGGAAAAAAAAAAGAAACTGTATGACTAGCCTGCAATGCTTCCCAAAGTAGGCAGCTTATTATTATTGGTCACTTTTTGAGTACAAAACGCTGTGCTATGTAACAAAATAATACAATGTACATATGTATAAAAGTTAACATATACATATCAATTAACATAAGCATAACTGTAATCACATATACTGATAAATAAAAATATAAAGTAATATATGGTAATGACCCAACCATTTGCCTAAGTTACATGTATTACAGAAGTTTTGAGGAGGGACTTCAGCTGTATGCAAATCAGCAATTCGGGTTGTACAGTTGATTACCCATTAGTTCAGAATTCTAATAATTTAAAATATATTTATTAAGAACCTAACAATTGGAAGACCTTACAATAGGTGGGAAAATTCGACAGATGAATAATGCTTAGGAGATATCAGCATGTTTTGGAAGGATATTCCCATGAAGAGAAAAAGTATTGTGGGAAGTGTTATGGTGCGAGCGTAATATAGGTTCCAGCATGTGTTTACATTATTTTGTTGGAGGTGTTGGGGAACCTTTCATGGAAGGTGTGTGGTAGACTGTGTGGACAGGTTTCCTCAACCTTCGTTCCACTCTTTGAAGAGGTTAGAAAATTAAAACAAAACAAAACAAGCAATGCAGCTTCCCTTGAGCCAGTTTTATGAATGCAGCTTAGACCACTTACCCATTGTTTGCATATGAATCAGACTTAGAAAAATGGAAAAGATCAAAGCCTGTCTTGCTATTGTTGATTCTGGCAAGTGAAATCATGGAGACAATAGTTCAGAAGTAGTGGAAGTGGTAGGATTCAATATCCTTGTGCCTAATCCCCAGTTTCATGGGCATAAGAAGCTTAAAGTTTTAATAGTAGGAGCATCTTTTTGACCCAGGATTGCAGAAATGATTGCGTGCCTTTGAATTCAATAACTCAAAACCTTCCTCCATGCCACAGCTACTTTAGTTATTTTAGCTCTTCCTATTGTATATGTATGAAATGCACTTTCTGCTTAAGATACCTATTGCAGTTTTTATTTCCTTATTAAAACCTTGGAAAAATATAGCACTTAAATTATGTTTTGTAGAAATTCACTAAGCAAATAAAGCTAAAGGGGGAGAGAGTTAACCTTCTCTGCCCCCTTTTTATCAGAAGTTAGTTGTAGAAGAAATACACAATTTTTGCGCAATTTTAGCACCATCTAAGTTTTGTAGGTCTGGAACACAGACTGGTTAGATGAGCATTTCAGGAGCACTATAGTTGCAAAGTTAAGCAGTCACCACAATTTTATGTGTCATACAAAGATTTTTAACTTTATGTTTAAGCAACGAGCCTAGAAGCAAATGGTATTTCCATCAAGAATTGTCTCATATAAAGTAGAGCGTTTTGGAAAATGAAGTTATTAATAGATAAAAACATGTTTATACAGTTGGTTTCTAAGTATGACAAACCTATTTCTTGGTAAATTGCAAGTCCATTCCACCTGTGTTTATAGGCTCATTTGCCTAAAAATCTTGGGATTTTTTCTGATGATCTATTAAATTTTCTGATTATCTTTTGTAATGCTGTAATAGCATTTCTAACACTGTAATGAAAGAGAACAAAAGTACACGCTTGCTCATCATTTACTAATTCTAAAAATATATATTGAATACATCTATGTAGCAGGTACTGTGGTAGGTGTGGAAGATAGTTGAGACAGGTAACAAGCCCAACATTACGGAGCTTAGCATCACCACATAAAAGAGTTTTTAAAAACCATAGATAAGTGAATAATGATTATAAAGACAAAGAGATTCTTGCCATATAATTACATATAAGCAAATTTAGGATGTGATGAAAGATTTTGATATTGGTCTTCTGATTTGGCTGTAGGATGAGGTGTTTATAAGTCATCCCAAGGAAGAAACAATTCAGATGAGAACTATTCAATGGATTTGCAATAACAATCCAAAGATGGAAGAAAACACTTCTAGGTAGACAAAATTGCAAGTATAGAGAATCTAAATTAAGAAAGAGCTTAGCTTTCAGATGAATTAAAAGATTGTGGTGATCAGAATGTAGAGATTGACGAGAGACAAATGAAATAAAACTAGAAGAACAAGTAGAGATTTGCGGGTCAATTTTTAAAATTTTATTATAAATGCACTGATACTGTTCTGAACATTTTCTTACGCATGGAAATTTAATGATTATGGCTATTGAAAAATGTAACTCTTCATTTATATTTTTCCGAGAATGAAATCGGTGGAATTGCTGGGGGGTGAAAATGTCCAATGCAAAACAGGAGGCTAATTTAAGAAGATACTGCAAAATTGGTCATGATGGCTCAAACTGCTGTTCATAATAGAGAGAAGAAAATGGATAGAGTTACATATGGATGAGAGTAAATTGACAAGGCTAAATGCTAAAATGTGGGTAGTGACAGAAAGTAGGTGTCAAAATAGACTTCCAGGAAAAGAAAAAATGGGTCTACAAAAGAGCCAAATGCTGATCTGGGTTACATGATCCTGAGCAGATGCAGATGTAATTGGTTAAGTAAAGTAAGTTCTTAAGATAGATTTGGCCTGGCGCTATACATTCTAGAGCCCCTGAATATAAGTGGGATATAAAACCATGGGAATGACTGTATTTGTCTAAGGAGAGAATTTGGCAGAAGAAAAGGAGACATAAGATGAAATGCAGAGGAAATTCAAATTTAATTGGCAGGTGTAGGAAGACAAGGAGATGACAAAGGGAACTGGAAATGAGTAATCAGAGACAGAAAAGTAAAAGTAAGAGTAGAATGTCATGGAAGGCAAATAATTGGAATGTTTCAGGAACAGGGAAATGGGCAATAAAGAGAAGAAAAAAATAGTGACCAGAGGGTATAGCAATGTATAGAAATTCATCCTGTGTTAGGTTTGATTGCTTAGACGTTTTATATAAAAATCTTTCCCAGAGAGTAATAAAACAGAAGTGAGGTTAGAGAAAGAACATACGATTTAGCCAAAAGGTGGGAAAAGTTAGGAAATGAAGAATAAATATGTTTAAAGATAATGTTATGGCTACTCAATGTACAACCTCTTTTCTTTCATTATTTTTAATTGTCATATTTAAAAATAGTAATTACCACTTTTAAAAATTGTCTTATTATTTGTTACATAAGAAAATGCATTAATTCAAGCCACATAGTATCATTTATATTATGACTGTCGACACATTACTAGAATTACTGGAACTATTAACCTAATGGTCTGAAAATTTCAACTCACTTCCCTAGCTGTCCTGATGATCATTAGTGAAAGGAAAGACTCCATTAAATAGTGCTTACTTATAGAGAACTGGTTATATCTGTCTCATTTCCATACATATATCTATATAAATTAATTTGATTAATAAAACAAACACAAGGCACAAACAACAAAACACAATTTATAAATGTCATTGAAAAATGCATGCCTGTACAATTTGGGTATTTGTAATTGTAAATTGATATACTTCATTTTTTATCCAGGAGTTACTTAGATTGAAACTTTACCTAATGTATGATAAAATAATATGTGATTAAATTTAAAAACATGATGAATTTATTTAAAATTGGCTTCAATAATGTCAGAAAGTAGTAAAATAAAATGATTCCTTCAAAGACTGCACCTGTTTGTTGCCTGAGATTATCTCTCTTGGCCACAAATCAATATTACTTTACTTTCTTTCATTCATCAGTGATCATAAAGCTTTTCAATAATTCTAATTTTAAAGGATGATTACAGCAAGTATATAGTCATTGATTGCTTAAAGGTTGCAGCTAAAATGAACACAAAGGTAATTTTATTTTTAATAAATGAGCCCTTTTGAAAAGTCAAGCATTTTTCCTCTCACAAAACTTTGTGTAATAAGGTTATAGATTTGATCATGTATGAGTTTGCACTGTGTGTGTGTGTATATGTGTGTGATTTCAGCAATAAAGTTCACTGTTCCACAGCTGGGAATTTCTTCTGCTTAATTGAAAATTCCGTTTTAAAATATTACCTTAAAGTTCTAAAATGGGTTTAAATGGGTTCATGAGCTGTAATACTATTAAAAAATATATGTCTACATATTTGTTGATTCTCCTCAGTTTAAGAAGTGGAGCTTCATACTCCTCCCCTTGAAGGCAGGCTAAGCTGAGTGACTCCCATCTAAGAAATAAAACACCACAGGATTGGAATGTTACCTTCTGAGACAAGGTCACAAAGGCTAGGGTTTTAATTTTGAGTGAACTAATTTGCTCCTTACTGGTGTTTCTCTCTCTTTCTCTCCTTCAACTCTTTACGAGCCCAGCCACCATGCAAATAATTCCAAACTCTCTTTTCTGGAAAGCTCACATAAAGAACCAAGGCATCCTATTTGATATCCAGCCAAATGATTAAACATTCTAGAAGCAGACTATGATGCACTGAATTTGTGAAATCCTAACCCCCAATGTAATGATAGTAGGAGGTGGAGCTTTTGGTAGATGATAGTCTGTCTTCATGTTCGGGATTAGTGCCTTGATTATTATTTTTTATTTTTATTTATTTATTTATTTTTGAGACAGAGTTTTGCTCTGTTACCCAGGCTGGAGTGCAGTGGCGCCGTGTCAGCTCACTGCAACCTCTGCCTCCTGGGTTCAAGTGTTTCTTCTGCCTCAGCCTCCTGAGTAGCTGAGACTACAGGTACGCACCACCACACCTGGCTAATTTTTGTATTTTTAGTAGAGACGGGGTTTCACCATACTGGCCAGGCTGGTCTGGAACTCCTGACCTCGTGATCTGCCTGGCTCAGCCTCCCAAAGTACTAGGATTACAGACGTGAGCCACCGTGCCCAGCCGGGGATTAGTGCCCTTATAAAAGAGACCCCAAAAAGCATCCTTGCCCCTTCTGCCATGTGAGCTAGAGGACAGCAATCTATGAACTAAAAAGTGGGCTCTGACCAGACACCAAATCCTCAAGCACCTTGATTTTGCACCATCCAGCCTCCGGTACCATTAGAAACATTTCTGTTGTTTATAAGCTACCCTGTCTATGGTATTCTGTAGTGACAGTGCAAACAAACTAAGACATGGACCTTCCAACACAAGTTAAAGGCTTTAGGGGATGCTGCCTGGGTCAACAACATGACAGCAACCTTTACTCATGACAGACCTCGAGTCAGAACCACCTACCCAAATCCATCATTTTCCTGACTTCTATAAATTGTGTCATACATATTTATTATTTTAAGCCATTAAGTTTTAGGGTAATTTTTAAATAGAAAAATACATGAGGATAGGTAAAACTATAATTAATAGAAAAATCTAATGGCAATAATATTTACCATTGATTGACCATAAAAACTCCATTAAAATATTGCTTCTACAATTTAGTGAGAGCTTCAGTAATCAGCTTTGTCAGTCTAAAAGATGCCTCTTAGTTGATTTCACTATTTAAGTCCTGAGTAAAACAAAATGCTTTCTGTACATATGACATTATATTATATTAATAGACTTAAACAAATACAGCTTGAATATTGGAAAGGTAGAAGTAATTCATATAATATATTAAAAAACATTGACTCCTTTTTTATTTTGCTTCCTGAAAATTAGGTTTATTTTATCCTTTTTTCCTAGAAATATTACCATATTTCTAGGAGGATGAAAGTCTGTGCAAATTAAAGATGGAGGAATAAATGTTCTCGTGTAAGTATCTTGAAGAAAAATAAAAAAAGTAATTAGTTTTGGGAGACAGAAAGTGAAATGAGGGAAAGAGCGGTAAGAGGTGATATATCAGAGCCATTGGCTTTCTTCCTGTCACTGTGGACAAAAACTTTTAAACCACAGTCTGTAAAGAAAACGCAGTTTGTGTTTTTCTTCTGTTTTAGGGTGTGTGGGAAGAGCCAGTCTCATGTAATGTTCCAAACCCCACCTGGGGTCATTAGGGCAGAACAGAAATAATTGCATTTGATATTAGGTAGCTTAGCCCAAGTTTAAAATGAAGCTAGCAGGGTAGGTCTCTACCAGACTTTATTAAGAATTGTGATCTTTTCCTTTGGGCAAAGAGAGGTCATTGAAATGATTTAATACTTAGGTGAAGGGCAGACTTGAATTTCATAATTATTACCCAGGTTACAGCATGTAATTTAGAATGGAAAAGTTCAATGAGGAATTGGGAGATTAGTTATCAAGCTAATGAAATATTAATAGTTCATCTACAAATGCAGCTTTGACCTGAACGGTGAGTGGAGAAGATGATAAGTGGACATATTTGTATAATACATAGAAAAAAATCAGCAAGAAATAAGGGTAGATTGAATATGGAATAAGAGGGAGGGAGATTGGTATCAAGAATAATCTGAAATATTGGTTTTCATAAAGGGATACATAGGGTGCCACCTGGTGGAATAAGAAACACTGAAAAGGGACTTGTTACAAATGGGAGCACTGTGGATTTAATTATCTCCTGGTGAGCTTAAGATGACTTGCAGATTTCTAAGGGAAACTGTCACAAAATAAATTGTATATGTGGGCCTGAGGTTTTAAAGAGAGGCCTAAGATATACAGGAAATTTAATTTTGTGAGTCACATAATATAGATTAACAGTGAAGCTCTGTGTTTGAGATTGCCTGTTGGTTACATTGAGTGGCAAGGGAGAGGGCAAAGAAGTGAGCATTCAATGACTGTGCACAGAAGAAGAGTGACTCTACAAAGGAGACAGAGAGGGAATGATCTAAGGAGTAGGAGGGACACACGATGAAGATGACATCTTAGCAACAAAGAAAAAAGGAAAGGAATGCTTCATGTTAGAGTGTATGTTGAATATTAATGAATAATGGCAAAGGTCAAATAAGAAAAAAAAAAAAACGAAAACAAAACACCACCCCTTCCCACATCCATTTATGTTATAGTTATTACTCTCCACAAAATTTGTTATGATGGCCCAATATCTATGGACACTAGATAAGAATTGTGGAAATGGAATCAATAAATGCATAGAACTCTTTGATAAGTTTTGTTGTTGAGATGAGATGAGAAATAAAAATACAGTCACAGCTTTGTCCTTGCCACCTGAACATGCTTAAAAACAGATAGTAAGTCTCTGTGTCAGAGGAAGAGTTTAACCATCTAAAAGTGATAAGGAGCAATAGACTGTGCGGTTTCTGAGAAGGTAGTAGGGAAAGGGATCCATTAGGGAAAGGATTATATCACATACTGGGGTAGTTATGATGTGGGATCATAGGTTATGGATTTCTGATATGTGAAGAGAGACAATTAGGCAGACAAGTCAAGTGACTGAGTTAGCAAGAGAATAGTCAGATAGTGTTAAAATCCTCTGTGAATTTGCTATTTATGGATTTATGGTAGTTCCAGTATGTTCTATCATGTTCTCCTAGAGTTAAGCTGTTTCAAAGCAAGTGAGATACAGGATATGGACAAATGAACTTAGAGCATTGGCAAAAATGTAACTGAAATTATTGATGAAATGAAGAACAAATCTAGAAATTTCATAACATATTAGAATGAGAGGCTGTAGGTGCAAAGAGGAGAACACTTTAATTAAACCAGTAGTCACTTGAAATGAAAACGGAAAATGTATGACTGTAGACATGCGTGGTTAAAGTTGGCATAGGAGAATCTCAATAGATTTGAGGTAGTGAAGAAACTAAAAGACTACAGTCTTGCACCAGTCATTCTCACTGACCTTGAAACTGACTACAGGGTTAAAAAGTCTTGAAGTAGGCCGAGCGTGGTGGCTCATGCCTAAAATCCCAGCACTTTGGGAGGCTGAGGTGGGCGGATCACCTGAGGTGGGGAGTTCAAGACCAGCCTGGCCAACATGGGGAAACCCTGTCTCTACTAAAAATACAAAAATTAGCCAGTCGTGGTGGCGCATGCCTGTAGTCTCAGCTACTGAGGAGCCTGAGGCAGGAGAATCACTTGAACCCAGGAGGCGAAGGTTGCAGTGAGCAAGATTGCACCACTGCACTCCATCCAGGGCGACAGAGCAAGACTCCATCTCAAGAAAAAAAGAAAAAGACTTGAAGTGTAGAACAAGGCCTGGAGACAGGAGCCAAAGTCTCCTATGAAGTGGAGAGATTAACTCAGATTTCCTTGGATTGCAGAAATGAAGGTGAAGCTGATGATAATAGTTGACTGTTCTGAGCTTTCTGGATTTTTCTTCTTGTATATTTTGTTTCTTTGTGTTATTATTTGTTTTTAAAGAGGTTGTGAGAACCAGTGACATGAAAATAATAATAATAATAATAATAATAATAATAATAATAATAATGATAATGAAGGACAGAGGGCATGGTCCAGCTTTCCTAAATTGAGGGATACTATACTACTGGTGCATCTCTGGGTGAGCAGGAAGACTCTTCAGTCCTGGAGGTAGAGAAAACGCCTGGGCCAAGTTTCATAGCATACAGGAATGCTCTAAATATGAAATTCTCAGGGAGCACACTGAGAATTATGGAATTTGGGATTTATGAGCAGCCAGGTGCTGAGGTTCAGTAAAAGTTGAATAGCTGGGATGAACTCACTGGGCCATGAGGAATGAAAATATGTAAGAGAGAGATATTGGTCAGTGTACGAAAAGTTGCACATTTGTATTTTGGGACTATAAAGGATATATGAGACAAAACACAAGAAGTATCTGAGTTGGCTTCTCATTAGGTAATTAGAGAGCTGGAGTGAAAATATTCAGTTCCTAGAAAAGATTGTCTTAAGGAATGCGAGACAGGAAAATATCGTGGTAGAATTGTATTGTATGTTTATAGAGAAATTAAAACAAAGAAATGATCAGGATCAGCCAGTGTAAAATATTTTTTTTTCTAAGCCAGGTGTTCATTAGCTTTTTAGATAAATACCAACTTCATGAGGGATTATGTTGCTTTACCTTAACTGCAACCCTCAAACACTGGTATTTGCATTTTCATGGAAATCTGATGAAGAAAAATTTTTTAGGGGAAAAAATGTAGGAATAAAAGACAGAAAAAGGAGAGGAAAACCTAAAGTAGAATTTTAAACACTAAAATATTCAGAAATTTAAAAAATAATGAATCAAGGTTACCACAAATAGGTAGCTAGATATCATGTCTAAGAAAATCACTGAGAAAAAACAGGCCAGATTTTTATAAACTCTGGATTATTTACTAGCTCAGTATACCTTGATTTAGTTACTATTTCATTTTTTTGTGTGTTCCTAAACTATATTATATATTTCACTGTAATTTACAAGAATGGGAACTGGGCACTTTTTAAAGAAATATGGTGTGTTTGCATACTTTGACAAGCAAATAACACAGAAACACATAAATCATAAGCTTCTATTCATCAGGGTACATGTCCCCTCCTCTGAAGATTTCCCTAGCCTCTTTCAAACAATTGCTTCTCTAGTTCTCTGTACTCCTCTTGTTCATTCTCAAGGCTGATAAAATAAATTTTAGGGTAAAATAAATTATTGGAGAGGTTATAAAAGAGGGTCAAGAATTCTCCTCGTCCCCTTTCTGTGACATTTTCCGGTTGATAAAGTCGAAGTAACAAATTCTGGGTTTCTACACAGGAATTAAATCTTAGAGTTCAATGCAAATGAAAGCAGACCTCTCTTTTTGACATTCTATAGGTCAAGCTGTAAAGGGTAACCCAAGACCCTTCTATCCATCTGGTATTCCAATTACTCATCTTTTCCAACACTAATCACCTCTGATACCATTTCTTGGCTGTTTCATGATCAGTATCGCCTGCTGAAGGCAACACTGTCACTGAAGACTGCAAGACTGCTCAAAGCATCTACCTGCCTCCTTTTTCAATCTAAACTTTATATGTTAAATATTCACACCACATCCTACTTTGTTTTGGCAACTGACAAATAAACAGGGAGTACCACACCAAAAAAAAAAAAAAAGAGAGAGAAATGCAACTGGCAACTAATCTGAACAAGTGCACCTATTTCCTAGAAGCTGAAGACACCAAAAAATACAGTTGCTTTGCTGTCACAAATTTTCCGATCCTCAGTTTGCAGTATCAACTCTGACTTTTCTCTGAAACAGGAAATGAGCTACCAGGATCTACCTACATATGCTTACATCTGATCAGTATTTCTTACCATTGTGATTCTCAATTTACCCAGTGAGAGAAACGAAGCTGATTCTGAGTATTCTGGGGATAATTCATCTGCAAATAATTATTTAATAACAGATTGTACATTGCTGGAGAAATATAATTAAATTAAAGTATTCTGCAAGCTCAACAAAGCTCCCAGCTAAGGAAGAAAAGAAAGAAAATGGTTTTATTAGTGAATAAGCCTCAAACAAATATGTGATGTGGATCACAGACAATGCACTTAAGAGATAATAAAGACAGAAAAAAACTCTATATAACCGAGCAGATATAACCTATCGCATCTATATTCTTAAGATAAACCATGATTAGTCCTCAAGTATAGGAATTGTCATTGTTGGAAATCAGAAATCCATCCTCCGAAATATGGTACCTTGACATGCTGTACACAAGCAGCAGCCTCAGGGTCTTCGACTTCGTTCCCTCCTGTCTGTCAATCCTCTGTCTCTTTCAAAGCGCAGGATGAAGTTATTTTCTGAAATTCCCTGATCTCGCTTGAGTCCAGAGCCACCAAAGAAAAAAAAAACCTCTTGTCTCTTTCCTGATTTTTCATAAATTTATCTCATATAGCAGGAAAAAGACTATAGTGTTTGAACAAACTCGGACAGATTTTTGTTACAAACCATTGACACCTCTGTGGGTCCAACAGACTTTGTCCCAAGCCACTGCATGTTCTGTAAGTCCACTCATTTTCCCTAAAAATTATTTACTATCCCCCAAATTGCCACATTTCTCCCCTCTCCCCTCCCCTAAGAAGAAGGGCATTAAACATCTGTACCCTGTTGTGTTATTGAATAATCTCATGCGATCCCTCTGTCCTATGCACATTAAAATAAAATTTTTTAGGCTCTTTCTCCTGCTAGTCTGCCTTTTACCAGTTGATTTTCAGAGGACAAGTGGAAAGTTTTCCCTTTGCCCCTAAAGCAGTACCATTTGTCACATTATAGTTCATCAAAATTTACTAGGTAATTGAGATAACCATCTGTGTTAGCTAATTGACTTTACCCAAAGGAAAAATAAACCTTTCACATCTTTATTTCAGGAGATAGTTTGACAACTCAGTGGAGTTATCCCACAGAAGGTAGGCTCCTATCCTCCCACAAAAACTGGGAAATATGGACATTATCTCCCTTGATATTTCCATTCCAAAGAGAGGCTCCAAAATCCTTTAGAAAGACATTGCTGGATTGTAAAGCTGGCAAGAGTCTTACTTCGCCTGTAAAAAAAAGTACATACATTTCAAAGAGACAAGTAATCAACCATTACAAATTCCCTAAAGTAAATGTTTTAAGTAAAAGAAGATTGTCTCTTCTCTTTTCAATGGGTTTAATGGGGAGAATTAAACTCCTAATTTTTAATTTGTATTTGCCCTTACAACATACATATCATTTACCCCCCAATAAAACAAGCTTCAAAAAGTTGTATATTATTTATTTAATTTTTTAGTTTTAAATTTACAAGTAAAAATTATATATGCTGATGATATGCCACATGATATTATGATGTATATATATATTGTGGAAAGACTGAAACAAGCTACTTGACATATGTATAACCTTATATACATTTCTGTGTTAAGAACATTTAAAATTTATTCTCTTACTGATCATTACTCTTCAGAAGTGTCAAGGTCGTGAAAGACAAGGAAAGACTAAGGAACTGTTACAGACTGAAGGTGACTAAGGAGAAATAACAACTAGATGCAATGTAGGATCTTGAATTGGTATATTAAAAAAAAAAATTACCAGGAGCAGCTTGCACCTGTAATCCCAGTTACTCCTGAGGCTGAAGCAAGAAGATTGAGCCCAGGAGTTTGAAATTAAAGTGAGCTATAATCATGCCATTACACTGTAGCCTGTTCAACAGAACAAGACCTTGCCTTGAAGAGGAAAACGAAGAAGGAGGAGGACGAGGAGGCGGAGAAGAAGAAAGAGAATTGGTGAATTTTGAAAGAAATATAATTTAGTTAATAATATTGTACCAATATAAATTTTCTGATTTTGATAATTGCGTTACAGTCAGTAAGATGTTAATATTGTTAACTTTAGGAGAAATGAGATAAGGGATATAAAATAACAGTTTATACTCTTTTTATAATTTTTCTCTAAGTCTAAAATTAGTTTAAAATAGAACATTCATTTAAGAAGACAGAGAAAGAGAGAAAGAAAACAAAAGAAAGAAAGAAAGCATGATTTCCCACTATGATTTCCCTTCCACTCTTGTAGCTTGCATGTGTTTTCCAGAAGTATAACTTACCCGGTCAAGGTACTAATAAAATAACAACCACACTCAAAAAAAATTCTGTTAGCAATTTTCAAATATACAATATATTGCTGTTAACTGCAGTCACAATGATGGAAACAGATTACCTGAACTTATTCCTCTTAACTAAAGTTGCGTGTCAATGCTCAGCTTCACTAATGATCATGGAAATGCAAATCAAAACCACAATGAGATGTCAACTCAGACCTTTTAGAACTGCTATTACCAAGAATTGCTAATACCAAGAACATGAAAGATAAACAAGTGTTGGAGAGGATGTGGACAAAAAGCAGCCCTTGTATACTGTTGGCGGGAATGTAAATTAGTACCACCACTATAAAAAAGTGTATAGAGTTTGCCATGGTTAATATTGAGTGCCAACTTGATTGGATTGAAAGATGCAAAGTATTGTTCTGAGTGTGTCTGTAAGGGTGTTGCCAAAGACTAACATTTGAGTTAGTGGACTGGGAAAGGCAGACTCACCCTCAATCTGGGTGGGCACCGTGCAATCAGCTGCCAGCATGGCTAGAATAAAGCAGGCAGAAGAAGGTGGAAGGAGCTGACTTGCTGAGTCTTCTGGCCTTCATCTTTCTCCAGTGCTGGATGCTTCCTGCCCTTGAACATTAGACTCCAAGTTCTTTAGCTTTTGGACTCTTGGACTTACACCAGCGTTTTGCCAGGGGCTCTCAAGCCTTCGGCCACAGATTGAAGGCTACACTGTCGGTTTTCTTGCTTTTGAGGTTTTGGGACTTGGACTGTCTTCCTTGCTCCTCAGCTTGCAGATTGCTACCGTGGGACTTCACCTTGTGATCTGTGAGTCAATAATCCTTAATAAACTCCCCTTCCTATATGCATCTACCCTGTTAGTTCTGCCCCTGTAGAGAACCCTAACTAATACACAGTTTCCTCAGATAATTACATTTTTGACATCTCTACCAAGTCCAGCCTTCCAAGCACGTGTCTGGAGCATTAGGTCATGACCTTTTAGAAGATGACTCTAGTGCCCAGCACTTCCCCTCAATTGTTTGCTGCACGCACTTGAAGTGCAGCAAGCAGACAGTTCTGTGTAACTTGAGACTCACAACACGAGGATACCCTTCCACCTCCAGGGCATCCAAGCTGTCTATTCCAGAGAGCTCTGTCTTGCAGCAAGCACTCATTCAGCCTCATTCTAGCATAACCTAAAAGAAAGTTATGACAATGTCTGCATATCATAAAACAATGAATTTTCCAAATAGCAAGATGTATAGACTCAAAGTCTTAGTGATTCTAAATTGAATAAAGTAAGATCAATATTTAGAAAAATTACAAGATAACTCCAAAGTGGAGATTGGTTACCTTTATTTCAGCATTTTCTTCCATTATCAAAGCTTGGCACATTAAGGGTACTTTTTTTTTTTTTTTTTTTTTTTTTTTTTTTTTTTTTTTTTTTTAAGACGAGTCTTGTTCTGTCACCCAGGCTGGAGTGTAGTGTTGCGATCTTGGCTCATTGCAACCTCTGCTTCCCGGGTTAAATCAATTCTCCTACCTCAGCTTCCTGAGTAGCTGGGATTACAGGTGCGCACCACCACTCCCAACTAATTTTTGTATTTTTAATGAAGACAGGGTTTCAACCACGTTGGCCAGGCTGGTCTTGAACTCCTGGCCTCAAATGATCTGCCCACCTTGGCCTCCCAAAATGCTGGGATTACAGGCATAAGCCACTGTTCCCGGCCAGGGTATTTTTATTGTATTTTATTTTCTTAACTTTTTAAAATTTATTTTTTAATTGAGAAATAATAATTGTTCTTTACAATGTTCTGTGCATTTATGTTGTACAATATTTTGTTTTAAAATATGTACACATTGTTGATGGTTGCATAGCATATATTAACATGTGCATTACTTCACATATGTATTTTTTGTGGTTAAAACACTTAAAAATCTACTCAACAATTTTCAAGAATATGATATAACATAATTAACTATACTATAGTCATCATTTTGTACCATAGGTCTCTTGAACATGTTTCTCTTATGTAAACGGAATTTTCTATGCTTTGATAGACGTCTTCCCAACCTCCCACTGCGCAAGCCCTTGAAAACCACCATTTCACTCTCTACGTCTATGAGTTCACCTTTTTTAGCTTTCACATGTAAGTGAGATCATGTGGCATCTGTCTTTCTGTGCCCAGCTTATTTCACTTACTATAATGTCCTTCAGGTTGTTCCAAATGATGTATGCTTTTATTTCAATTTATCAACAAATGAAGAAAGGATATAGATCAACCCATGTCAATATTTTTCAAAAACATTTTACTTTTAATACAGAATCAATTATATCATTTCAAATATATATAAATATGTAACTCTGAAAGAAAATAATTTGTTGAACATCATTACACTATACAAATTTTGAATAAAATAAATTTTATTTTTGATTCTATGAGAATAACAATGTGCAAATAAATCCTGAAGGTATATACTGACTCTTATTGAGAGATCATTTTTGTCATTGATCAAACAAGCTTGAGGAGTTACATAGCTACAATCTAGCCCAATATTAAAATTTAAATTTATAAGAATTAATAATTATTACAAAAATACAAACATCCATAAATATTGATTCATTATTTGAGGTAAATATATTTTTTCAACTATGTAAGTAGCTCTGTGTCTTTACCTTATGTCCAAAAACACTAAATATATTTTGACCTATGATTTATAAGAAAATGCAGGGAATTTATAAGTTCACATTTACTAAAGCTATACACAAGGATACCTTATCTTTACAACACAAGGATAGTGTTCCACCTCCAGGGCATCCATTTAGCTGTCTATTCCAGAGAGCTCTCTCTTGCAGCAAGCACTCATTCAGCCGCATTCTAGCATAACTTAAAAGGAAGAAAGCTATGACAATGTCTGCATATCAACATTGAGTCTAATTCCATTAATTATTTTAGGCATCAGAAGATTGTGTCTAATAAATGTAACCACATATATTACTCAATAATCTAATTTTATCACTTGCTGCCCCAAAGGACAAATTATTCAAGCCAAAAATCACATTCTTTTTCTCTTCCAGAAAAAAAAAAAGCATATGCCATCTTTATTTCCATTCCTGAAATTTGATTGTTGTTTTGTTCAGAAAAAAATATTATTTTAAGTGTCGTGGAAGATGAAAACTAAAATCTGTTTCTAGTCTATCTCCAAAGAATAGAAAATAAACTAAAATCTTAGTGAAAGCTTTTAGAGATACAGTGCTGTCTTTAAAGCAGATCAGTGCTCTTCTTCAAAGGAAAAAGAAGAGAAGCAGGTGAACCAGAAGCAGAGCATTTGACATCCCATTTCATTCTAAAAGCTCAACCCAAAAAGGAGTCAACTTTTCAGAGAAATAGGATAGTTAAGCAATGAGAAGACATAAAACCACAGAAAAATATGTTTTATGGAAAATTATTTTTCTATCTTGATGCATTACATTCAGAAGCTTTTAGATGAGGTACTTATTATCTCATTGTTATCTCATTGTTACTATCTCATTGTTTTAGTGGTGGGAACAGTTTGAAAATTGGATTTAAAAGAAGGAAACAAATACGGAGTTTCTTTCATGTAAAATACACATAAATACCTAGAAAAAAATTTATGAATAACTGATTTTGTTTCATATTAAAAATATCTGCTTTGCATAGTTTAATCAAAAGATTGCAAGATATTTTAAATTTTGTTGCTTTTAATTTAAAATTGTATTATATTTGCAGCCTGCATATTCATTTCTGAAGTTGATGCTCTGTCCAGATAGTAAAGTAGATCATATGGCTTTTGTACAGTGCAGTATAAACAAGTGAACTCTGAAACTAGATTTGATCTAGTTTGAAACTAGACGTGATCATTCCCTTTTCTGTCAATTTCTCAAGACCATACCCAAGTTAATAAGGCTTTTTTAAAATCAGTATTTTTATAATACAAAAATGATAGCTTATTACCAAGGTAGTGAGCATTACAGAGAAAATGAAATAATATATGTAAAACACTTAGTACAATGAAAGACACATAGTTGGTACCAAGTAACAATGACCTATGTGGTGTGCAAGAACTGAGGAATCAGTATTTCAACCTTCATGTTTCAGAGGAACAACTGACAGTAGCATCTGACACTTATATAAAAGAATATTTGAAATATCCAAGGTATAAATAAGTCATCTATCAAACAAATTTGTTTACCATGCTGATATTAAATACTGACTAATGGCTAAAGACTTCTTGCCAAGATTTATCATCTATCATCATAGTAGCTGAAACATCACCTACGACTTTTGATAAAAAGTTAAGGTAGGCCAGGCACGGTGGCTCACGCTTGTAATCCCAGCACTTCAGGGGGCCAAGGCAGGCAGACCATGAGGTCAAGAGATCGAGACCATCTTGTTGAAACCTCATCTCTACTAAAAATAAAAAAATTAGCTGGGAGTGGTGGTGCATGCCTGTAGTCTTAGCTGCTCAGGAGGTTGAGGCAGGAGAATCACTTGAACTTGGGAGGTGAAGGTTGCAGTGAGCCAAGATAGTGCCACTGCACTCCAGCCTGGCAACAAAGAGAGACTCTGTCTCAAGAATGAATGAATGAATGAATGAATAAATAAATAAATAAATAAATAAATAAATAAATAAATAAGCTAAGGGAACCAGATCAAGTTATGCAGTTTGGACTTTCCCATATCCACAAAAGTTTTATAAAAGGAAATATGTTCAAAATAAAGAAAGGTAATTTTGGAGAAAAAAAGAAAAAGAAGGAGAGGAAAGTGCAATTGTGAGAAAATGAGAATCATTGTTTTTAAGTAGGCAGTAATTTTACAGAGGATTTATGATTCCATTATTCTAAAACATTTTTTGATCTTACTGTGTGTCATGCTGTGGGGTATATACAATTTCGATAAGTATAAAACTATGAAACTATACCTGGGGTATCTTCTTATTCTCTTCCTCAAGTCATCTCCTAGTGCTTTCCAATTTTTGGAGTATCCTCAAGTCATTTAGTTTTACCCTCATGCATGCTTAAATTAAATACGAAATGAAGGAAAGGAATGAAATTTTTATATATGTCATGCCCTTCTGTCATATAAATTCAGAAATCTCAAAAAGATGTTTGTCATCAACTTATATTTTCTTGAGTCAGAAAATTGATCAATAAGGAAAGTAAACTGCCATTACTGTTCACTCCTACTTAACCTCATGTTAAATTCAGGATCCAATACACTAATTACCACCACCACCCCTAAAGATAGCCCTGTCATCACTGTATTTTCTGCTTTCTAACAAATCATACTAATGTCCTTAAGATTGTATTTTAAGTTTCTCATGTACTTCTACTAGACTCTAAAGACCAAAGTAAAGATTTTTGAGAACGTGCTCCAATATGTGAGCAAATGTCCATTTTGGCATCTGTAGCCACCATGAAAGTCAAAGAATAACAGATCAGTTTTTCTGTCCTATCAGTGACAGCCCTGCCTCTATTAACTGGAGAGCAGTATTTCAGCTAAAGCTCTCCAGACTAACCCCCAACACTGTTTGAAAATGTGGCCTTTTTGATGATAGATGTGTCACTAACAGCAACATTTTACCAACTTTTAAAAGAATTGTCTGTGTCAGAGCTTGAGAACGGGGATTGTTTCTATGCAATATTTGAAATAGATTTATAATATTAAAATATGACAGATGAGAATGGTGAAAAATCATAAATTCCAATGTGACTGAGCTTTCAATAACCTAGAAATGCAGGATCATCAGAGAACTCCAACTAGAAAGTTTAAATCTCATAAATCAGAGGTTTAATACCTTGCACTTACAGAATCACATGATAAACTTATAAAACTGTAGATTATTAGATTCTGCACCAAAATATTCAAGGAGAATAATCAAGCATGTGTATGTTTAGCATTTTTCCCACCATCGGTCTACTGAGTGAGAGTAGAGGCAAGTAGTTAGAAGTTAGGTTTCTGCAGTAAGAAGGGCAGCATTTCAATCCCCAACTCTACCTGTTTCTAACCACCTAAGCTTGTTAAGTTTGCTATGTCATAATCATTACTTTTCACAGATGCAGATTATGGAACATAATTATATCTTTCACTTAGGATTAAATAAAATAATGCATGCAAAAGGCATACAGTCAACTCTTAAAAACATTGTCTATTGTCATTGTTGTTCATTGCCAGTAGAGTTAAAAAAATAACAGTTCGTTGAAAACATGTTATCTATACATGAGCAAGCTATTTCTAAGCAGATCTTTTCTAAATATTAAGTAGACCATTATAAATATTGTAAGAAGTTTTTATGACGGGGTCAGTGTATATTCCAGAGAAGCCTATAGAGGAAATGTTACATGTTCTATAAAATACATCTAACAAAGTATTTATTTATTTGTTTATTTTTTAAAGAGATAGGGTAGTGCTCTATTGTCCAGGCTGGAGTTGCAGTGGCATAATCATTGCTCACAGCAGCCTCCACTTCCTGGGCCCAAGCAATCCTCCTGCTTCAGCCTCCTGAGGAGCTGGGACTACAGATATGCACCACCACACCTAGCTAATTTTTTTTTTTTTCTGTAGAGACTGAATCTCATTTTGTTGCCCAGGTTTGTCTGAAACACCTGTAGGGTCTGTGACCCTGGGTACTGAAACTGAGTGAGGTCCACCAGGAAAGTCTGAGTGTTTTCCTGTAGTTTTACATATTGATGAGCCCCTTGAGCTTGCTTTTCTGTGTATAGTTTGTTCATATTTAGATTGGATTTTTATGTTAACTTGCCAATTTAAAAAAAAGCTTTGGGTGTTCTTTATATTAATGTGGATTCTAATGAATATTAAAATGGGTTAAATTATGTTACGATAAAAAAAGCAGAAATAAACCAACAAGTTTATATCTCACTCATGATACAAATTCACTGTGAGGCAGCTGGATCTAGGTTTTACCTCATCCTCACTTGGGGTCCCAACGGCTAGAGCAGCTGCTGTCTGGTCTAGGACACTTCTAGCCATCAAAGGCAAGAAAAGAAAAAAGAAAATAAATTGAAAATTTGCTTTTAAAGCTCTGACCCTGAAATTGCACTCTCACACATGCCACTTTGATTCAGATTTCATTGATTAAAGCAAGTCAAGTCTCACAAGTTCTAAGTAGGCAATAGGCAAGGAAAGTCAATCCTATCACATGTCTGATAGGAGAAGTGGAAATATTTACTAAATAGAACAGTACAAATATAATCACAGTTAATTTGCCAATATTTTCTCTCTGTTGCTTTTATCGCTGTTGGTGGTGGTGATTTTTAGACCAATGATTTTCATGATAAAGTTGTCAAATTTATTAAATATTTTTGTCAGTGCTTCCTTGAGTGTTTTTAAAGAAATATTTTTTTCCACATTGAGTTTACAATGGCATCTTACTATGTATTTACAATGTCCATACAGTATTGTTCCAACTAGTTAGATAGACATGACCAGGGCAGAAGCGGGATCTTTCCCCAACCACTAGGAATATCAGGTGATGGTTTCACAATTATCACACTGCCTCTCTAAAAATGATAATTCAGCAGCCCACCCAGGGCAACAGGGAGAGGCCATTTCCTGATGATCCACAACTATTAATATTAAAGTGCTAATTGAATGCAGATGCCAGGAAGAAAAAACTTCCTGGGCATGCGCACTAAGAGACAAAATGGCAAACTATGACCTGCCAGGTGCACTCCACTGGAAAGGGAAGAAAGCCTCACATGGGCATGCGTACAACTTCCGAAACACACTGCACTGCACGTACTCAATTCCCAGGGTGAGGAGAGCACCGGCGTGTGGGAAGCCCACCCTAAGGGAAGAATCATGGGAAAGAGGTTAGCCTATAAAACCCTAGGGTCAAGGTTAAACACTCCCTTCTCTTTTTGACCTTCAGACACCCTCTTGGATCTCTTCCAAGTGAACTTTCCTTTCTTTCCTGTTCTGAAGCCTTTTAAATAAAACTTCCACTCCTGCTCTGAACCTTTTCTCAGTCTGTTTTTCTGCTTTATGCCCCTCAGTGGAATTCTGTCTTCTGAGGTGTCAAGGACTGAAGTTGCTGCAGACCTGCGTGAATACAGTCACCAGCAACACCAGGTAACAATGTCTTCCACCAGTAACAGTATGACGATTCACATGCATACCTTTAAATTATCTGAAGTTTTTTCAAATCATAAAATCACTAAAACTTCATAACTATTTTTCCACTTACATGATGTTAAATCTACATATTAAATTGTACATTTTTTCAACAAAGTCAAAATTAATCTCATCACGAACACAAAAATGGACCTTTGCAAGCTTTAAAATTAAACACTCACCTCACACCCATCCTTCTAACGTTGTCTAAAATGCCAATTTCACTTCTTTTAAAAATTTAAAGCATATATTGTTGTAATTTTTCTGGTAATTGTAAAATCCACCAGCATATTTTATTGAAGTTTTCCAGCCCCTGTTTTTTCTTTTACCACTTGATTTTCTTATGATCTAATTTTTTTCTTTGGGTGAAGTAACTGATCATTTATTTAGCAAAGCCTTTTATGTGCTAATGTGTGAATGGTTTTATGCCTGATAATATTTTCATCATTCTCTCTTTACTTATAGCTTAGCTGGTATAACGTTCTTGTTTGAATCTTCATATTCCCCTTGAAGACAGTGTTACTCCATTTTGTTGTAACATTTCTTATTTCTGATGAGGTATCTGTTAATATTCTAAATGTCATTTTGTTGTAGGTAATCTTCATGTTTTCTGTGGTAATGTTTAAGAAATGTGTCTTTATTCTCTATATTCTGCTGAATATAAAATAGGTTTAGTTATGATAACAAAAAACTAAATAATAAAAGTAAACTAACAAAGAGAGAAACCAACAGAAACAAAGTCTGGAGGAACAATCAGGGCTGTTATGAGGGTCCCCAGTCATCAGAGATCAAGGCTGTTCCTATTATATATTTTGCTACCATCTGAAATACATAATTTTTCCTGGTAATTCAATATGGCTACTTTAGCTATTTTTCTTCCTGTCTTCCTATCTGCTTTATGCCCCTCAGTTGAATTGTCTCTTTCATTTCAACAAGAGGAAAGAAGAAGTAGGTGAAGAAAGACATTCTTTCCCCATATTATGACAATTCCTGAGACATGCTCACAGCATTTTCACTCTCATCTCATTACACAGGAGAATGTATTTCGCATCTTTCTTTATATAGAGATAGTACTATTTTTCTTTTGATGGAAAATTATTAACTTCCTTCCTCTTCCAAATATTATTATTCCTATAATAATAAAGAACTGAGCAAGGTCTCAGATTTTACCCAACTTTCAAGCTAAGGATGAACCTGCCACAGTTTTGTAAATGCAATTTTGGGTAAGAGTCAAAAAAACTTTTATCACTCACACAACAGCAGGCAGCATAAGCTTGAGGTTTAGATTCATTCTCTGTGCCCCGCAATTCCATGGGGACCATGCTAAACTGTCAGGTTGATGCTGTGAACACAGTGGGCTTGTGACAGAGCTGAGCAACCCTGCATTTGGAAAATCCTCAATCTTATAAAGAAGGCTATAAGCAAATCTGTCCAACTATATCTCCAGAGAGAACATTATCTTTACTATCAGCATGAGAAAAGAAATGTGCCTTCTTTCCCAGAAAGAAGTCTACCTTCGAAGGCTTTTTGCTATACAACATCCTTAAAAATAGAGTCTGAAACAAATACTGATAAAAGACATCCAGAAATTCCATGGAGAACTGTCTTCCAAAAACCAATTTCTTTATTGTCTCCTTCTGAAATTCCTATCAGATACATGTTAGAGCCTCTCAATCACTCCTCCTAATCCTTACATTTGTAGTTCATATTTTAACTCTGTTTGCTTGAAAGGGTATACTGCTGAAACCTTTTCTATTCCCTTCTTTTCACTATTTCATTTTGAATTGTGCATAATACAGAATTTTTCTAAATTAATACATTTAATTTTCAAAATTAAATGTATTAAATTTTCAAATTTTCAAAATTAAATGTATTAAATTTTCAAATTTTCAAAATTAAATTTATTAAATTTAAATTTTAACATTTTAGTTAGATTTTACATGTCATGTTTTCTTATTTTGCATGGGCATATATTTTATAATTTTGTTTTTGTTTGTAATTTTAATAATGTCTTTCTTCTTGAGCATTCCAAATATGCTTACTTTAAAGTCATATTATTTCATCTACCTGACTTCAAACTATACTACAAGGCTACAGTAACGAAAACAGCATGGTACTGTTTTGGTACTGTACAAAAACAGACAGACCAATGGAACACAACAGATACCTCAGAAATAACACCACGCATCTACAACCATCAGATCTTTGACAAACCTGAGAAAGAGGAGCAATGAAGAAAGAATTCTCTATTTAATAAATGTTGTTGGGAAAACTGGCTATCCATATGCAGAAAACTGAAACTGGACTCCTTCCTTACACCTTATACAAAAATTAATTCAAGATGGATTAAAGACTTAAATGTAAAACCCCAAACCATAAAAATCCTAGAAGAAAACCTAGGCAACATCATTCAGGATATAGGTATGGGCAAAGACTTCATGATGAAAATACCAAAAGCAATGGCAACAAAAGCCAAAATTGACAAATGGGATCTAATTAAACTAAAGAGCTTCTGCACAGCAAAAGAAACTATCATCAAAGTGAATAGGCAATCTACAGAATGGGAGAAAATTTTTGCAATCTACATGTCTGACAAAGGTCTAATATCCAGAATCTATAAGGAACTTCAACAAATTTACAAAACCAAACAAACAGCAGAATAACCCCATCAAAAAGTGGGCAAAGGATATGAACAGACACTTCTCAGAAGAATACATTTTTGCGTCCAAAAAACATATGGAAAAAAGCTCAACATCACTGATCATTAGAGAAATGTGAATCACAACCACAGTGAGACACATCTCACACCAGTCAGAATGGTGATTATTAAAAAGTCAAGAAACAACAGATGCTGGAGAGGATGTGGAGAAATAGGAACACTTTTACACTGTTGGTGGGAGTGTAAATTAGTTCAACCATTGTAGAAGAAAGGTGGCGATTTCTCAAGGATCTAGAACCAGACATACCATTTGACCCAGCAATCCCATTACTGGGTATATACCCAAAGGAATATAAATCATTCTACTCTAAAGACACATGCACACGTATGTTTATTGTAGCACTATTTACAATAGCAAAGACATGGAACCAACCCAAATACCCATCATTGATAGACTGCATAAAGAAAATGTGGTATATATACACAATAGAGGACTATGCAGCCATGAAAAGGAATGTGATCATGTCCTTTGCAGGGACATCGATGAAGCTGAAAGCCAGCATCCTCAGCAAACTAACCCAGGAACAGAAAAACAAACACTGCATGTTCTCACTCATAACTGGGAGTTGAACAATGAGAACACATGGATACAGGGAGGGGAACATCACACACCGGGGTCAGTCGGGGGGTGGGGTGTGAGGGTAGGGAGAGCATTAGGACAAATAGCTAATGCATGAGGGACCTAAAACCTAAATGACAGGTTGATAGGTGCAGCAAACCACCATGGCACATTAATACTTATGTAACAAACCTACATGTTTGGCACTTGTATCCTGAAACTAAACTAAACTAAAATAAAATTAAAAAGCAAATTCAACTAGTATAAATTCACAATCCTCTCGTTGATGTTGATGGTTATTTTCTGTAGTCTATTTTCATACTGAAGAATGTATATGTGTAGGCTCATTTGGAGTGGAAACAGTGTGTGTTTAGGGTTTGCTTCTTTCTCACTCTGTTTCCATCCTTTCTGCCGGGTCCATTCCACAGACCCTGGCTCAGTGACAGATGAAAGGAGTATTCAGACACAGGTATGCAATGTAAGAGCAGCTAGGGGACTGCCCCGCACTTAGCAGCCGTAGTGAGCAGCCTCAAACAGCTGAAGCCGCTTGCTTTTATTCAGTACAGACATAATGCGGAAAGCCTGGAGACAACACAATCTGTGAGTAATTAACATTATTGTTCTCCCTTTCAGGGAGCAGTCATGCACATGGATGATCAAAGGTCGGTTTCTGATCAAGGTCAACATAAAAAAACAAGCTGTTTAAGATAAATTCCCCTACCCTTCCTTGTACCTAATCCTTGCCCTCTACCTCAGGGTCAGAGAACAGCTGCCTTCAACTATTCTCCCCTGAAGCTATGCAGAGCCTTCTGATCTTTCAGAAGGCATGCTCCTTTCCCTGTAGTTTCTCCCACCACTTTGACTAATCTCCTACACCCTTCTTGTAAAATTATTTCAAAGTTGTCCATACAAACTCCTGCACAACTTCTTAGAACACAAGATCTGGTAGTGTACTTCAAATTTCTTCTCCCTGAACACAGGTTGGATTATTAGAGATACATTCACTGGATACAAGTTTTATGGCTCAAGTCTTAAACCAAGTTCTTCAGAAATTCTGTACTTACTCAAGTAATAACCCTGGTCCCAAGTAGTGACAGATATGGAGAAATTTTAGTCCCTGTTCTGTTGTAGAAGGCAACCTAATGGCCATCATTCGTGGCCTTGGTGTTAGAAGTCCTGGATTCCATATCTTAAGTTACAGTCTAAACTCTGTGTTTGTGTGTGTGTGTGTGTGTGTGTGTGTGTGTGTGTACATGTGTATGTGTTTTCAAGGCATTTCATCTGATTTTTCACTTTCACTATGTAATTATGATTTTCCCTTTTCACAATATTCTAAAATTATCCTGTATTTGCAGAAGTTACATGCCAACTCTGATCATACTCCAACATCTTCATAAAAAATATGGATTGTTTTGTTTTTATTTATTTGGAGTAAGCCAAACTTAGGTATATTTCACATCTCACAGACTACCCAAACTTTAATTATTTAATTAGAATTAAACAGAGATAGCACGTCACAAAATGACAAAGGCCAATTAGAGATTTTCACTCAATTCCCTATTATTTTCTGATTCCCTATTAATTTTTATGCCAAGCTAGAGCTGGTCTTGCATGATACTGTCAAGTATTGCCCAAAGCAGGCTTCTTTGGTGTTACAAATAATTGTGTATAGCAATGCTTGAGTTGCTTGCCATTTTAACAGTAGTCAATCCCCATTAGGAATATAAATAAGCTAAGGAAATGTATTTGATTACACAACTGATCTTGAGAAAAACAAATTGTCGAAAAAGCTGTCTTTTTCCTTAAAGTGATATTCTTGAAAGAAAAAGTATAAAATATATATTGGTGATAGAGTGTGAAAGCTCAAGATATATAAAGTATTGTTTATAAAATGTTGAGCTTGCTCAAAATTTTGAAGTGTACCTAAAGAGTTACGGCAGTTTAAGAAAGCATCCTTAGCACGGCAAGGCATAAGAAAGTATGGTATAATAAGATAAATTAGATGGGTGATGATTCTTGTAAAATAATATTTTTGACCCAGTAAATCTATATCTTTTTTTATCTTCTACAGTTTATTTCCAGATTGTGAGTTTCTGATATTTCTTCAGATCACCCATGATAGTTTAAAAACAAATCAACCAACAAACAGCTCTTGATTGAGTCTCTTTGCTCTTCAGTGTCTGTGTTTTGAGTCCTGAACTGGGATTAAGCATATCTCACTTCAGAAGAATACTTTTGCATCAAGCTCCTTTTTTGTGTTCCGGACTCTCTCACATATTTTTAGAGAAGAGCTCATTACCAGGAAGAGAAACTTTCAAGTTATGGAGTGCAGAAAGGGAAATTCAGGTTAAGCTGAAGAAGCAGCATTTAAATCATGATTTACAGCTAAAGGTTTTTAAGGCTAATTTTGGACATAGTGAGTTTTCTGCTACCCCAAGACTTCAGCCATGGGGTGGACTAAGGGTAGAATATGTTTGATTGTGGAAGAAATTCCAATTTAAGGTGAATTGCATTCTAAAAATTTATCTGACATCAACATTTTCAATATGTTTAGAATAATTTATACTATAATATGCCTGTTTTCAAGGTCGAATATAAATAAACATGCAATAAAATGTTTCCTGTTCAGTTGTTCTTCCTAATTACTAAATAGTATATTCAAGAAAATGTTATTGGTTCAAAGAATCCATAGAATAAGCTTTAAACAGAAAACAAATATTTGTAAATTGTTTACTTTTATAATTGTATGAGTCATACATTAGAAGTATTTTTCTTTTCCAGTCTGTCACTTAATAATTTGTAAATAGCATTAAAGTAAACTCAGATTCTTAATATAATCTTCCTTAACTATTCCAATACCATATGAACTAATATAAAGAAATTGTTCTCCTATTTTAATAACCCTGTAAATGTTTGTGGAATCATACAGTTTTAACCATCTTTTTTTATGAGATAAAAATATCTTATCTTAAATTTAGCATTATTAAAATAAACAACCTTAGCCTTCTAATTCAAAACTATAAAATATTAACTACTATAGATATGCATCTGAAAAACTTTATAGTACAGAGTTTTTAAAAAATAGAGTTTATTTCCAAATTACCTCACTTTAGAATATTTTCTTCTTCTCCTCTTTAGTTACTTCTCTATTGCTTGCCTTTATCCTTCTCCTTTTTACCCATTCTTTTTCCATTCTCTCTTCTTTCACTCCCTTCTTTCCACATTTTTTTTTTTTTGAGATGGAGTCTTGCTCTGTTGTTCAGGCTGGGGTGCAGTGGTGCGATCTCAGCTCACTGCAACTTCCACCTCCCAGGTTCAAGCGATTCTCCACCCTTAGCTGCTCGAGTAGCTGGGATTACAGGTGCCCACCACCACACCCAGCTGATTTTTGTATATTTAGTAGAGACGGAGTTTTACCATGTTGGCCAGGCTTGTCTCGAACTCCTGACCTCAGGTGATCCACCCGCCTTGGCCTCCCAAAGTGCTGGGATTACAGACGTGAACCACCGTGCCTGGCCTTTCCACACATTTTTATTGAATACTTCTGAATGACAGACACTGTGTCTATTCAGCAAATACAACAGTGAAATTCTAGGCACCTACCTTCATTCTATTAGGAAACTGACCATCAGATAAATACCTGCAGCATAATGTGAATACTGTTCTGCTTAATTTTTCACACTTCTTTTATAGTTTTAGTCCATTAGCTTTCTTTCTGACTAGGAAGGTTTAAGATGTCACGTTTGTAATCTGTAATTATGTAACATTTATTTCTGGTAATAGATGAAGCTTTTATCATAAGCTGTGTGTACTGCTTCATTATTAAACCTGAAGCAAAGCCTTTTTTTTTCTTTTCCTTGAATTTCTTCCATCTTTCATGGGGAAAATAAATTAGGCTCAATCTATATTATATGCAACATGTGTTATAAAAGCTTGCCATTGTAGACAATAATAATGTCAAACTATATTTGGTTTCATTTAATGAGGGAATACCAACTTCCCATTTAAAAGAAAACCTTGTATTTCATAAGGTTACATAGGACGATATTTAAATAGAATTCTTGGAGGTTAAATTTAGAATGCAGAATATGTTCAATAGAAGATTAATCTCTGGCCCTGTTGAATTGTACTTAAAAACATAGACACATTTTCAGGCACTTCAAGTTCCTAAGTTGCTGTAACATTGCAGTTTGTGAATTTGTACAGAACTGTTTGATTGAAAATGTTTAAAAAGGCATACTGATAAAGAATTCAACTCAGGCATTAAAAATGAAACGGAAATATAGTAGGAAATATTGGCATGGAAAATGGTAAATAAAAAATGCATGTTTTAAAACAGTAACTACTGTATGAAGCATATATGCATGTGGTAATACATGAATGCGTATTCGCCAGATTGCAGATAAAAATCAAGTTACACGAAATGAAATATTGAAATTTTATTGAATTGCTTTGCCTGTTGTATAATATGAAAATTCATCTTCCACCTCTTCAATGAGAAACTCTTCTAGCGTCTTTCATTATTGTCACTCTCTTTGATGTCTGCTTCTTGCAACCACTCAATATAGATTTTAGACTCAAGTTTATTATTCCCAGCAGAAAAATGACAACATGCAAATTGTGTCATGCTGTCTTCAGCTCACACCCTGTCTTATATCTGCTGTAAACTAACTAGTGGACATAAATACCTGCCCCACCATATACCAACTTATTTTTCATGCTCATAAATGCTTAAAAATTTAAGCTCAAAAGGAAATCTGCTCTTTACATGCAAACTTATAAATAGAAAAAGAATTGAAGGACCATATACCAGGATATTAACAGCAATTAATTCTGAGGACTAATAATACAATGCATTCTTTTTTACTTAATTTGTTTTTCTACTGTGAACATATACTGTTTTTTGAAGAAAAGTATAAGAATAACATTAAAAAGTGTAAGTACATAAAACTCAGGAAATGTCTAAAAATAAAATAATAAATTGCTTAGTTTAATTAACATTGGCCAAAGACCCACTGCACTTAACCAAATTCTAACATCGATTGAAAGTAAAAAAAGAATCTAGGCCGGGCACCATGGCTCATGCCTGTAATCCCAGCACTTTGGGAGGCCAAGGCGGGCAGATTGCTTGAACTCAGCAGTTCGAGACCAGCCTGGTCAACACAGTGAAACCCCGTCTCTACTAAAATACAAAAAATTAGCCGGGCGTGGCAGCATGTGCCTGTAGTCCCAGCTACTAGGGGGGCTGAGGCAGGAGAATTGCTTGAACCCAGGAGGTGGAGGTTGCAGTGAGCCAAAATGGCACCACTGCACTCCAGCCTGGGCGACGGAAAGAGACTTCATCTCAAAAAAAAAAAAAAAAGAGAAAATAATCTAAATAAAATCAATTTGTTATACTTAAAATATTGGATAGTTCACTAATTCTGCTGTTTTGTCATAAGGGTACTACTCTAAGGCATGGCTTGTTATGAAAATTTAAATTACTCACCTATACAGTGCCAATACAGAGTAGTGATTATTTGTTAGCATCTGTTTTCATGTAGATCACAGGGTGATCAGGGTGGAAATATATTACTAAAAACATATTCACCTAAAGTATTGTTAAGTTTTATAATTGATTGGAATGAGGGGAAATAAAAGAAGAACCTAATTAGTTTAGGGGCATAGAAAGACCTCTTTCTTTAAGAAAATGAACTTTAAACTGAGATATAAAATATTAAAAAGAGTTATTCTAGACTAAGGAGAAAGAGGGCATTTTGGAAAGGAAAATGACACTGTCACATTTGCCTTTAAAAAAGAATACTAAAAGTGGAAAATATTCTTCCTTCAATAAATGTATATAAGAAACACACTAAACTGAAACAGTTTTAGAAGTTCTTGAATATATTACTCATAATTCAGAACATCTCACTAAATTTATACAACAATATTCAAGAATATATATGTACTATACATCTTTGCAAGGTAGTATAATAATATAATAGCCCTACTGTTTATAGTAAATGATATCATATTATGTTTCTACTTCTTTCCTAGTGGCCATAATATCTGTAACATATATGCATGTAACTCTGTTCAAAGAGTTGTGTGTGTGTGTGTGTGTGTGTGTGTATGAATAGGCTATAAGTAGGAGGGTTTACTTGTTTATTTCTTCACTTTTCATTTCCTAAGGTTCATTAAATACTGTGTGAATAAATATTTCTTATCCAAGTAAAGTATAGTAGAGGTACCAAATGTGTCATTTATTTTTTATATGTGTAACAATGTTAAACAGTATACAATTTTAGGCAAGGTGAAACTAGTCTATTGCTTCTGTTTTCTAATATGGCAAAATTATGTGAATATAAGCAACAAATAGCATTAGTTACTATTAACCCTCTGTCCCACCAATTGACAAAGTGTTTACAAATAGAAACTACTGGGGAGGCTAGACACAAAACACGGTAGCTCATGCCTGTGATCCCAGCACTTTGGGTTGCCGAGGTGGGTGGATTGCTTGAGTTCAGGAGTTTGAGACCAGCCTGGCCAACATGGTGAAACCCCATCTCTACTAAAAATACAAAAATGAGCATGCCACGGTGGTGGGTGCCAGTAGTCCTAGCTACGTGGGAGGCTGAGGCAGAAGAATCTCTTGAACCCAGGAGGCAGAGAAGGTTGCAGTGAGCAGAGATTGCACCTTTGCACTCCAGCGTGCATGACAAGAGCAAAACTCTGTCTCAGAAAAAAAAAAAAAAAAATCAACAAAGCTTTTGGCTTACTTGAGGCCAGTAGTTTGAGACCAGCCTAGGCAACAGGGCAATACCCCATCTCTAAACAAATTTAACTTAATTTAAAAAGACTAACAGGGATCTATGAGGATCCATTCAGAAAATGCAAAAATCTAACCTAGATACCACCCCCTCAAAACCACTTCACAATAAATCTTTTTTTGGAAGCAAGCTAAAACTAACCTAAACCGACCCAAAGGAAAACATAGGCCATTCCATTCCCTTCCTTTGCTCCAAAGTTACACAGCAGCACTTCTTCACTATCTAAAGCGAACTTCTACAACCTGCAGCCAAGGACGGCTTTGAATGCAGCCCAACACAAATGGTAAATTTTCTTAAAACATTATGAGTTTTCTGCTGGACACTGTGGCTCACACCTCTAATCCAGCACTTTGGGAGACTGAGGTGGGGGGATCACTTGAGCTCAGTTTGAGAACAGCCTGGCCAACATGGTAAAACCCTGTCTCTACCAAAAATACAAGAATTAGCCAGGCATGGTGGCAGGTGCCTGTAGTCCCAGCCACTCTGGAGGCTGAGGCACAAGAATCACTTGAACCCGGGAGGCAGAGGTTCCAGTGAGCCAAGATCGCGGCACTGCACTCCAGCCTGGGTGACAGAGAGAGACTCTGACACACACACACACACACACACACACACACACACACACACACACACACACGGAAAGAAACTAGTTGGGAGTCACCACCCTTTACTTAACCTGCATTTCCAGGAAACAATTAGAACTTAGTCTTAATTTTGCATTCATCTGATTCTACAACTCTTCTGGTGGCAACATTAGCCTAATAATAGCAAGGATGGAAATAAAAATAAAATAGGGAATAATGTTTGTTAAAAGGCTTCTTAATGAATGATAGAACGAAAACAAGTCACCTATTTTGGTTGCCTGAATATACTGCTATGTCCCTTATTACAGAATGAGACTATAATCGAGCAAGTAGAGCACTATTTAATTTTTTTAAAAAAATGATGTGCTACTATTTTTTATGTTACTCTTATGTACTTCCCCAGTGTAGGATATGTTAACTCATTGAAACACCAGGGAAGCATTTACTCTACTGAAGAACTTAATTTAATAGGACCCTAGGAGCTTGAAAAGCAACTTACTCAGTGGGAGAATTTGGCTTAGTACGTTCAGTGATGATGCAGCACCCAAAGGTATTGAATTTTAAATGAATCCATGAGCCTAATAAATCATCCCAGCTGTCAAGTGAAATCTAATTTGTGAAAAATTTATTACCCATGATTATCGTGTATTAAACATAAGATTTGAAATCTAAGCAAATGTTATATTCCTAGTTGGATAAATACTCTAGATTGCAAGGAGTCTTTAATGCATTTTGACATCAGGCTGGCCATGGCAGAGTTGATATTTCTAAGGAATATCATCTCAGTCTTTGATATCTCATGCTTTTCACGTCATTCATAGTACTGAACCCATCTCTAATCATGTCACATATATCTTTGTGCTTTGACTTCTAAATCCATTCATTCATTGCTTTCTGAATGCCCATATATCTCCTTAGCTTGATCCAATGTCCTCAGTGTCATTTTGGAGGTGATAAAAGACAACACAGACTCTGAAGGAAGGGTGTGTAGTGACAAAATGCACCTTGAAATCACTAAAATTAGATTTGTGGTTTATGGCTGCGTTTCACTGCAGCAATACTACTCAATGAAACATTTGTGTTTTTAACTTCTGTCTTGACCAAATGGGACATTCCATATAAAAAAGCAAACATTATCTATATCTTCATTAACTTTCATGCACGGTAAAGATGACAAAATTTATAAAAATCTAACCCAAAATTTTGGCCTTATCATTAAATCAAGTCCTGATAAAATTCATCCAGTGATTATTGAAATTTGTAATTGATTGATATAAAAGTTGCCAAGCATTTATTGTGCAGTATTCTATAAGACCATAGTAAATATAATTCACATCTTGGCTATAGCAAATCACACAGCAGAGATCCATTTCTATATCTCAAACACCAAAGCTAAAATATCTGGGAAACTATTCATTATCTGTTCAATTTACAATTATTAACAGTCTCTAGATCATTGTTTAGAATCATTAAGATGTTCAAACATATTTTTAATTGTTTATGTCTATTTGTGAAATTTACTGTGAGATAAATATCAAGCTGTTTTTGGCGAAAATATGCAATTCATCATTGACTTTATGAATGATAAGTTTACATCACATATTTACATTATGATACGTAAATTAGTAGATATACATTTATGCAAATAAGTTTGTACTTTCGAAAGTATACACATATACTTTCTAAAAGGTATATATATTATATATTATGTATTAAATATATAATCTATATATAGACTATGTATTTAGATTATATATAATTTATATATAATTTATATATAATCTATGTTATATATAAATATATAGATTTATATAAATTATATATAATCTATCTGTATAAATATATATAAAATCTATATATAGACTATATGTTTAGCCTATAGATATCTACCCCTATTGTCTATGTAGTCTATATATATATATAGACTATAGATTATAGATACAGATATATATATAAATTTACATCTTAGATGGCAATATGTTCAATGAAAAGAAAAGCACAGTTAGGGACACAGAAGCTTGAAAATATGTGGAAAGAGAGCTCTGTAAACAGGGGGAAGAGCGTGGTGTGGTGAGAGTGTCTTTGGCCAGTTCAAGGACAGCAAAGAAACTGATGCAGACAGTGTGAGGGGCTTTATAGGGCTTGTTAACAACTTTATCTTTTATTGTGAGTGAAGTGTGAAACCATTTAAAAATTTAAGTGAAGTGCCAATTTCTAGTTTACTCTTTTTAAAGACTGAAGAACAGGAAATATGAGGAAATAAAGGGGAATTCCGTGTGATCTATCTGATGGTTGTGTCAGTGTAGTTTGAAGGTAGAGCTAATAGATTTACTGATGAATTGGGGATAGGATGTGACAGAAAATAAATAAAAGATGAATATTTGGTAACTAGAAAAATGTGACTGCACTTCCTGAAATGAGAGAATGTGCAGAAGGTACATTTAGGAGCACAGTGGAGAAATGAGTTTTGAAACTGATCAGTTTGGGTTGCCTAACAGATTTCCAGATAGAAACATTAAGGAGGCAGTTGGGTATACAAAAGAGAATATAGGCGGGGCACGGTGGGTCACACCTGTAGTCCCAGCACTTTGGGAGGACAAGGCGGGCAGATCATGAGGTCAGGAGATCGAGACCATCTTGGCTAACACGGTGAAACCCCGTCTCCACTAAAGATACAAAAAATTAGCCGGGTGTGGTGGTGGGCGCCTGTAGTCCCAGCTACTAGGGAGGCTGAGACAGGAGAATGGCATGAACCCGGGAAGCGGAGCTTGCAGTGAGCCGAGATCATGCCATTGCACTCCAGCCTGGGGGACAGAGCGAGACTCCGTTTCAAAACAAGCAAACAAACAAACAAGCAAACAAAAAAAGATTATATGTGAGAATTATCTATTTATTGTTTCATTGATCACAATACAACAATTTCACAGTGGCTTTATTTCTTGCCATGACCTCAGGTTAAGTTTTTGTTTTCCATGATAAAGCTAACAAAAAAACAGAAAAAAAAAAATACCTGTTTAAATGCCAGGTAGGGCATCAGCATATTGTTTTATCACTGTGTTTAATGCAAGTTTGGGAAAGGTTTATGGGAGAAAACCTCATTTTGTGACCACTAGGGGAAGAGAACTTAGAAGATATATGGACAAACTAGTCATTGATGACAAAGTATGAGCAAGAAACTCTAGTTTACTGAAGTTTCAGCTTGTATTGCCATATATAAGAGCATTTGAAGCCTCACAACCCTTTAGCCTAATATTGTAAGTGGGGTATTGGTTGACAATGAATTTAGTCAAATTAGTGCCCTAATTTATTTCCAATATTTAAAAAGATGAAATGGAAAATTAGGGAATAAATGTGTGCAGAAAACTAAACAGATGTATTTTTGGTGATTCATTTCAAAAATCTCATGGTGTAAAACTCAAACAATGAGAATTTAGTTAAACTTCAATTTGATATGTTAATTCTGTCTATAGCTACTACCTATATTGAAAATCATGCTGAACATGTCTTAAGCTTCTCCATAATTGTTTGTTCTCTGTTCTTTTTTTTTAAATCAACACAGATATTTCTAGCGAATGTCTCCCTATTTGCATAGTTTATGATAAGATGGAGCTAAAACTATACTAAACACTACACTTAAAATAACCTGTTATTATAGACTAATAATTTATTTTATACCATCAACACTAAAAGTTACTTTCCAGTTTATATTCTTATATTAATACATATCATTTATTTTAGAGTTTCTAACTGCATTCCACAGTAAATATTAAAAGGACTTGAGCTAATATACTATTATTCCGATGTAATCACTCCATAAATTTTGTGATATATGGTATGCTTTTTATTAGATTTTTATACTGCATATTTAAAGCTAGCATTTGCCTAGTTAAGAACAATGGATTAGATGCCATGAACAACCATCTGAAATCCAGAAAAAACTTTAGTAGTAAGGAGTCCTTTGTTGGGAAATAACAATTCATTCAGTTCATCTGCTTAGCATATAAATTAAAAAATATGGATTGAAGTGATTACACTTAATTGATTAGCTCTTTACTGAGTGCTAATTCTAGTTTGTTAGGCTAACACTAGCATCTGTTATGCATACATATCTCATAAAATCCACGTATTTGTTCAACATTATTTTAGATGAGTTCATATCTAACTGCATATTCAATATATATTTAATTTTCAACAATAATTATACTATTGTTATCAAAAGTAAAAAGCCAGAGTGAAATGCCTTCTAAGATATTCACAAAATCACAGGGTATAGTTCCATTTACTTTACATTATTTAAATTAAAACATATTTGAAATATATGTGCTTAATACAAATCCTTAAAAAGGTGTACTTTAGTTAACTGCAGAAATCAGAAATTTATTATTAAATGCATCACTTTTTTGTGAATGTGTCTAATCTATTTTGTAACTTCTAAATTTCACTTTGCTTTATTTAGTCCCTCTAATTCTACTATCTCCAGTAAGAAAATCGTTCCTTTTGTTGCCGTACATGATGATTTAAGACTAAATTAACATAGATATTTGCCTTCCTAAATAGTTTCACGGAGATCATAATTTCTTTTAAAGGAACTAAGAACACAGTGCACCTGTAATTTGGCATGTCATGTCAAGTTATACAAGTCAGTTAAAGTGGACTGGTGAAGACCTGAGCCTAGAATAGGTTCCAGTGAATATTGGTAAGCTATATTTTAAGATTCTTAGGTATTACCATATGAGAGGAAAGAAGAGTTTGCCTGAAGGCAACTTTTGTAAATTTTGTAAATATTTAAAGAGTATTTTATATGCATCATGCCGTCCAGGTGATGGAGGCAGTACCAAAATAATAAAAGAAAACTCCTCTCTTCAAAGAACTTACACTCTGGTTCTGGAGATATAAAAGTAAGTAAACAATTTGATGATATGATAAATGCAATAATAGAAGAAGCACAAAATACGGAGGAGGAATCACCAAACTCTTCCTGTATATATGAGGAAATATACACACCAGTCCGCACAAACAGTAGCACTTTTTTTATTGGTTAATAGGCACCAGGTCTAAGTGACAGCTCACTTTGCTGCCCAACCTTTGACTCAAAAGGAAATTGCTCAAACCATTATCAGTTTGCCTGAGCAGGAACAAAAAAACATTTTGTGGATCAAATTTGCTATGGATGAGGCATAGGATTGTTGTAGGAGCTTAAGGGCAGATGAATTTGGAGAATTAAAGGGAAACAACATTATAAATTTTTTTATAACCCCTTAGAGAGTTATAATGGGGTGGGCAAAGATATACACCTTTCATTAAATTGACTTTTATTGAACACCTAATTAGTGCTTGTCGGTTTGAACTGCTATAATAAAATAGCACAAATAGAGGGTCTTAAAGAGAAAACACTTATTTCACACAGTTCTGAAGGCTGGGAAGTCCAAGATCAAAGTACCAGAAGATTCAGTGTCTGGTGACAGGTTGCAACCTAGTTCATAGATGGTGCCTTCTTGCTAAGTTCTCACATGGTGAAGAGAAGAGGAAAACTCTCCCATGACTTTTAAAATCTCATTCAGCAGGGCTTCACCCTCATGTCCTTACATCCTAATTAACTCCAAAGACCCCACCTCCCAATGTCATTGCATCAGGAGGTAGGTTTTCAACATATGGTGAAGAGCAGTGGTGCTCTTTGCACAAACATTAGCAAACTTGCATTGGCCCGAGCATTCTATCCATAGTGGTGCTCTTCTAGATTTATACCAGAAGAAAAATAAGAAGACAAAGCTTTGCATCCTCATGGGACTTACATTTATTGGCAAATATACAATAATCATTAAAACAATAAATGAGTAATAATCTAGTATAATAGGAAATAAGTGCTATGTAAAAGAAAATACAGAATAGGGTAAATGAGATTTAATGTGTGAATGACATAGTGAAGGCAGGTGGCAGTAATGAATATGATACCCAAGAGTGGTCATATTTATTTAAAAAAAAATTTTTTTGAGACAGGATCTCACTCTATTGCCCAGGCTAGAGTGTAGTGATGTGATCATAGCTCACTGTGGCCTCAGCCTCTTGGGCTCAGGTGATCTTCCTGCTTCATCGTCCCAAGCTGCTCGGACTACAGGCATGCACCACAACACCCGGCTATTTCTTTTTAATTTTGTAGAGACTAAAAAATGAAAAGTATATTAAAATATTTAAGGTAGACATTATATCAGGGTTAACTTTGTATACAAATATATTATTCATTAATTCTTATGTGATCTGTTTTCAGAAACACATTTTTTAACAAGGAAGAGAATATGTATCTAAAGATAGTGTTTTGAAGGCTTATATATCAATCATTTACTAACGAATTCAAACTCCATTTATTCCATTGCACAGCATGATATATTTAGAACAGATTTGTGCAAGAAAATCACTCCAAACAATTATTCGAAGTATATTTATACCTTTACATGATGAGGAAGGATATATATATCCTTCAAAATAATGTATATTATATATATTATATTCAGATAATATGTATTATATATATTATATAATATATATCTGAATATTGGCTGTGCATAGTGGCTCATGCCTGTAATCCCAGCACTTTGGGAGGATGAGGCAGGCGGATTACCTGAGGTCGGGAGTTCAAGACCAGCCTGACCAACATGGAGAAACCCCATCTCTACTAAAATACTCACACACAAAAAAATTAGCTGGGCGTGGTGCAAGCGCCTGCAGTCCCAGCTACTCGGGAGGCTGAGGCAGGGGAATCTCTTGAACCCGGGAGGCAGAGGTTGCAGTGAGCTGAGATCGTGCCACTGCACTCCAGCCTAGCGACAGAGCGAGACTCTGTCTCAAAAAAAAAAAAAAAAAAAACAACCTGAATATCTACATGCTTGGAAAATATATTAATATATTCATATATTCTTTATTTATATGTAATCTATTAATATATTTCAGTTATCCTGCATAGCACATGGTCAATGAGTTGTTCTAGTTTGTAAAAGTAATGCAGATTAAATTGCTATTTGGAACTAAAAGAAAGGTAGATAACACCATATATGGATCTCTGATATGATCTGTATGGAGCACTATGATTTTGTTTACTTATATAAATCTGTTACTTTTCTTAGAATACTACAAAAAGCATGATTATTTAAAATTGTGAAATACTATTTTCAGTATTCTAAATCACTAAAAGAAGAAAAAATACTGCAAAAAAGACTTCATAACTTCTAATTGGTGTTGACTGTAGTGATTTCCGGTTGCCTACCAAAATGTCTATTCTCCATTGCTTTTTCAGTAAGAGAAACTCAATATTCTTGTGTATGCATTGCCAACAAGTTAAATGACTATATTTCCCAGCATTCCATGACAAGGATTATGTCCATATGACTAAGTTACAACAAATGAGATGTAAGTTTCATTAAAGGGAGAGAGTAAATCCTTATCTTTTTCTAAAGATTGACCTAGAATTCAAATACCATGGTCAGACTGTCAATTGCCATCTTGGCCCCTGAAGGTGGAGTTTACCCTTTAAGGAGGAAAGTGCGGAGAGGCAGAAGCTGCAAAAACACCTAATGAATTTTTGGAGCTTCCATGCATGTCCTAGACAGCCTCCCTCCGGATGGCTTTTATTAAAAAGAATAAAATTATAAGCCTATAAATGCCTGGGGCTTTAGGTCTTCAGTGAAAACAGCTGAGCCTAGTCCTAAGTGATAACAGCACATGTTTAGTTCAGTCACATCCAAGTAGCAGGTGAATTTAGAATGTGTAGAGTCTGGCGTGGTGGGTGATGCCTGTAATCCCAGCATTTTGGGAGGCCAAGGCAGGAGGATTGCTTGAGCCCAGGAGTTCAGGACCAGCCTGAGCAATATAGTGAGACCTCATGTCTACAAATAAATTTTAAAAAATAGCCAAGTGTGGTGGTGTATACTTGTAGTTGCAGCTACTCAGGAGGCTGAGGCAGGAGGATTGCTTGAGCCTGGGGAGTGGAGGCTGCAGTGAGTTGACATCCACCACTGCACTCTAGCTTGGGCAATAGACCAACACCCTGTCTCAAGAAAATAAAAATTTTGAATGTGTAGAAAACCCTATCATAATAGGATTTCAAATGCACACGACTGTTTAAATTAAGCTAAAATATTGATATTGATTTAGAATTTTGCATAGAAGGTAGAAGTAGTGGACTAAAGTTGGAAAATTCTCAAAACAGTTCATAGCAATAAAAGACATTATAGCAATCAGGAATTTCCTACCACCCTATTCAGTGCCCAGTACATAGTTAGCACCAGTAACAGTCACCAAACAAGTGAGCTTTTCTTACTGAAAAAAGACATGTGATAATAGTTTACCGCCTTCGGGCCCAAGCATTTTTCTGATCAACTCTCTCTATAGATATAATTAGAAACACAACTTTCTGATAATTCATGAATTTGTGACATGTGACACAGTATATTAGAATGATTTATTCTAAACTAGAAAATACAGATATACAGCTTTGAAAGTGAACAAAGGGGTCTTCAACACTATCCATTTTATCAAATTCTGGAGGAAAGATGCTTAGACAACTGCAGTTTCAAGGTTATGTAATTTGTTTAATCTACAGAATTTCACTGAGCTCATTCATATTAAACAGGAAATAGCCACTTGAAAAATTTGGTGAGAAAAGAACTTCAGTTGCTCACTATCTGTGGTTCTCCTCTCCTTCTGAGCAGACAAGAGAATAACATTTTCTTATGCCTTGCAGTTGAGTGGGGCCGTGTTGCTAATTCTCACTGAGGAGCTGTGCCTGGCAGGGATGTGTTTCATACAGGCACTAAAGAATAAAGTATAGTGAAAGACCATCCATATTTCTCTACTTGCAGTGTGGTAACTGCAGAAGATTTATTTTGTTGTGATGATACAGCCGCAAATTCAAAACAACATGGATCACTAAGTCATTGGTTGTGAGACAGTTGGCCTGGAGAATCAATGTTAAACTTTTTAGCATTAAATATATATTATATCATGTGAAACCGCTGAGATTTGGAGGTAGGTTTTAAAGAACTTAGAAAAAAATCTACATGTACAAGTTTCAAACCGGAAATATCATTCATTTTCTTTCTAAATCCTTATACCTTTTAATTGTCTTACACCACATAAGTCTAAGGCAATAACACACACACACACACACACACACACACACACACAGGGATTTTTAAAGTTGATGTTACACAGAGGTAAGAGGTAAAGTAATGTTTTGGTCGCCACAAATGTGATGTGTTCTTATAAATAAGGTTTAAATACTAGGGTTTTAGAACTCATTTTTTAAAATAATTAAATTATATTTATTGATTTATTTTGCATTGTCCTTGACATTTTTTAACTTTTAGTTTAGGTTCAGGGGTACATGTGCAGTTCTGCTACATGGAAAATTGTGTGTCATGGAGGTTTGGTATACAAATGATTTTGTCACCCAGATAATTAGCATAGTACCCTATAGGAAGTTATTGACCCTCACCTTCCTCCCACCCTCCCCACTCAAGTGGGCCCTGGCGTCTATAGTTTCCATCGTTGTGTCCATGTGTACTCAATGTTTATTTAGCTCCCACTTAAAAATGAGATGTGGTATTTTGTTTTCTGCTCTTGTGTTAATTCACTAATTCCTTAGATTTGATTTTTAGTAATGCTTTAGATAGAAAACCTGAGAGTTATTTTCAATGACCATACTCCCATTTGTTAAACCCATTGTTAAAGTTTTTCAAAGGGACACAAATAAATAATAGATTAGAAGTTGTCTGCTCGGGCTGTGATAACAGAATCCTACAGCCTGGGTAATTTAAATAACATAAATTTATTGTTTCCTAGTTCTGGAGATCGGAAATCCAAGATCAAGGCGCCATCAGAGTTGATTTCTGATGAGGCCTCTCTCTTTAAGTGTCTTTTTTCCTGTGTCCTCGCATGACCTTTTTTCCATGTGCATGGTGAGAGATAGAGATGTCTGATGTCTCTTCCTCTTCCTATAGAGACACCAGTTCTTTCAGATTAGGGCCCCACCTGTATGACCTAATTTAACCTTAATTATTTCCCTAAAGGCCCTGTCTCCAAATACAGTCAAAATGAGCATTAGGGCTTAAACATATAAATTTTGGGAGGACACAATTCCATCCATAACAGCAGTATTACACTATTAGAATTATCTGTTTCAGGAGATAAAAATATATGAGAAGTGGGCAAGAAACATCTCCTTTTATCATACAAACAAAAGAAGCCAAATTTTTCAGTCATTGTTTTCAACCAAAAGGACTTACCCGTTAAGATTTTTGTCAAGTAGGCTGTGAGTATCCCTTGGGGGTAATATGCATTCATCATAAGGGTTCTGCTTTTACCTTCTGCTTCTGCTACTTTAATACCAATCACTTCTCCATTGGAAATCCTCCTGACACCCTGAAGACTAAGTAGGTTTTCTTTTTTTTTTCTTTTTTCTTTTTTTTTTTAGACAGAGCCTTGCTCTGTTGCCCAGGCTGGAGTGCAGAAGTGTGATCTCGGCTCACTGTAACCTCTGCCTCCCGGGTTCAAATGATTCTCTTGCCTCAGCCTCCCGAGTAGCTGGGATTACAGTCATGTGCCACCGTGCCCAGCTAATTTTTGTATTTTTAGAATAGACTGGGTTTCACTGTGTTAGCCAGGCTGGTCTCAAACTCCTAACCTCAAGTGATCCTCCTACCTCACCCTCCCAAAGTGCTGGGATTACAGGCATGAGCGCTCCCGGCCCTAAGTAGGTTTTCTACCACAAGATTTTGAAATGGTTAAGAAAAGTATAATGATTACAATAATTCTAATGCATCTCTGTAATCAAGGTTATTTCCTTGTCTCTCCTCTGTATGAGTTATTCTCAGCTACATCGTCCAACACAACTTAAAGATCTGCAATGAAATCAAAGGTGAACATTGACTTAGTTCAATAATAATGAAAGGCCAGCATTTATGTACCTTGAGTTTGATTTAAAATTCCTTACTATCATAAGATACCTAAACAGAAATTCAGTATTAAATTCCCCTTCAGAATTCTCCATCACCTCAATGTTATTTCATTGGGGGAAACACCCTCATAAGCTGACTTTACTGTTGATGCTTCTGGGTCAGGTGAAGACCCATGCCAGGGCTTTATCATACTCCAAATAAGCCTCTCCTCACATTTGAATGCTCCATACTTTAAATAATGTTGTATTCTACTATATTTTCTTTGCGTAACTTTCCATTCATTTGTTTATTTGTTCTGTCATTCTTCCTCCCCTACCTTCTACTACTTCTCTTATCTTTGGAAAGGGCTCAGCCCAGGTAGTATAATTTAACCTACTTAAATCAGCTCCTATCATTTTCTGACACATGTGAGTTGGGCTAAAATCATTTGCTTAATTACGAGGCTTTCCACCGCCCCCTGCACTTTCCCTTTTTTTCTTTGGCCCAAACATTCATCTATTTAAATATTTCTTAATCAGTGATTTCTGGGTCTGCAGAATTATCCACTGTTTAAACAAATGTATTGACCCACATTTTCTTGAATCAGATAAACCGAGTCGGTAGGTATTCTCCCAGCAAACCAACTTCCTAACCACATTGGGACAGCATTTGCTACCATCCTGTCCAGATCCCCTTTAATAAGTAGCTAAATCATTCCCATATGCCACACAATAATAGCTATTATAGATGCAGATGTGTACATACATACCCACATGTATACCTTTGTGAGCCCAGGCAAATATATTTAAAGCAACATACACAAGCACACTCACAAACATATACACATACAATCAGTAATAATGACTAAATAATTTATATAATTAAATTAAATATTAAATGTCTGAATCATTTCTAAACTCTTCAGAGCGCACCCTGCCCATTTTATTTTGACTGGAAGAAACAGAGTATCTACGATCTAATGATTTGACAAGAATATTTACCTTCAAATCACTGTTTCTCAATAACTTTAAAAATCCTGTTTGTGACAAATGGTAATTGTGGGTAGTACTGTTTCATGACTGAGAAAACCTTAGAATTCAATCAGAGCAAAGGAAAATATAGCCAAGAGTGCCTGCTGTTTCCTACCAGTGCTTCTATTTGCAAGGAGCAGTTGAGGAGGGCAGAGTTATAGCATGTTTTGTTTTGCTTTTATCTGTAGGATATGAGGGAGGATGTCAAGGCCAGGCGTGAGAAGTGAGTGGCTCTAGAAGCGAGTGTTTCTAGAAGTCAGAAAATTAATACAAAAAGATAAAAAAGTAGTTACAGAAGTAAGGTATACATTATAAATCAGGTGACTTTTAGTGTTAAGAGATGCAAGTAAAAGCTGTACTTAATATTATTTAACTAGACTCTTTCAATTAAAGTTTCTATGATATTCATTTTGTAGCCCACCATTTAAGATTTTGAGTCTATGGTGCATCTTATGAATGATCCATTGTACCTTTGATAAAATCATCATCCTAGACTTGAGTGAGAGGTTAAATTTTACCATAACAGTATGCTAATTGATTCAAATATTAAAGAAGTGACAATTACACGTAACATTTGAAATCAGTTACCAAGTCAGCATGGTACTATAGCAATACACTGACGTAGAAACGACGTTTGGAGAGAGGCTATGCACTTTATTACTGATGTTTCAAGTAGAGAATCAGACCTTTGTGGCCTCATAAGGGGTCAGTAAATTAGGAAGTCTGAAAACACTCAGAACTTCTCAAATTAGGAATGTATATTGAACTAAGTTTTCATAGGCTTTCCCCACTAATCTAAGTTGTTTTGTTTTGTTTTTGTTTGTATTGTCTCTGCCTTTATCTATCATTACAAGATCTACAAGGTAGCCATATGGCTAGAATGCAGGTCGCATCTGACCAAATCCCACAAAGACCATAACATTTTTGCTTTCCAGAGGCCATAAAATATTTTCTTTGTCCATCACTGTGGACATAATCAATCGCTTTGTGATTATTCACCATAATCACATAATTACTTTGGTGGGGGAAATGTGTTACAGTTATTTACTAGCTAACTGGGACTTAACTCTGAGAGAAATAATTCTTCAAAGAAACCTGGTACTTTAGTTATCACCAGGAGAAGGTGTAATTAGCAAATAGCAGCTGTCTTCCAAGATGATGGTAATACTCAAGGCTGCTGTCCTGTGCGGTAAATGGAGACTAGGTTTTTTTTGGAAATAAGTTTTCTGGTGAAGCTTTTAATTATACAGTTTTCAGAAACTTGATATGGTTACAGACTGATTATTACTGGCATCTTGAAAAATGTATAGGCCAGCAAACGTCAGGGATTCAGATAAAGAACATTATCATAGTATGTTACAGAAATGCATCAGAGTATGGCAACTTCAACAAGTGGGGTGAGTCAAGGCAGTTGGAAGGTCTTGTAGGATGCTCTGTGATATGTGCAAGGGAGTTAAAAGGCAGATGATAAAACTGTGAGAAATACAAGCCAACCATTTCTAGAATAGTTTAGTTCAGCATGTACCTGGAAGAAAAGGAAACTTTAAAAAGTAGGACTGAGTGCTACAGATCACATTTATTTTCATTTTCTACAAGAGATTAAAATTTTTTTGCATCTACTTTGGTTTCTGGATTGACATTTCTATGAATGTGACACAATGCTGATAAGGAACTACATGTTTCTTATAGAATATGTGATTTATTCATTCATTAGATGCTCAAAATATGTACTTGAGTTAATTCAGATAATCATAGAACTATCCATTTTAGCCTTACTTGGCCTAGAATTGTCTTTATTGAACTAAAATTAGTTTAACACCATGTGCCAAATTTGAAGGATTTTAAAAGATCTAGGATGCCTGTATTATGAAACGGTATTGACCTTACTGTTTACTAAGTTGCACCATTTTATTTTTATGAGAATTTATCGAAGGTTATTTTCAGTGACTCTGTAATAGGAGTTGTTGTATCTCTTCCTCATCCAAAATGGTTTTTGTATTATAAACAATCAGAATCATGTCCCTAATTTTCTCCCATTTTCCTTGAGCAACCAGAAACCCCAGAGTGAAATTAGTGACAGACGTGTCTGGTATGTATACCACTCTCTCTAACATGAGCTACATAATACCAAAAATCATTATTATCATTTTTATTATCACTATAAAAAACAGTATATTTGTTTGGGCTTTTTTTTTTTTTGGTTGGTAGGCTATTAATTACTGCCTCAATTTCAGAACTTGTTATTGGTCTATTTAGGGATTTGACTTCTTCCTGATTGAGTCTTGGGAAGGTGTACGTATCCAGGAATGTATCCATTTCTTCTAGATTTTCTTTCTTTTTTTTTTTTTTTGTTTTTTTGAGATGGATTCTTGCTTTGTCACTCAGGCTGGAGTGCAGTGGCAAGAACTCGTCTCACTGCAACCTCTGCTGCCCGGGTTCAAGCGATTCTCCTGCCTCAGCTTCCCGAGTAGCTGGGATTACAGGCACCTGCCACCACGCCCAGCTAATTTGTGTGTGTGTGTGTGTGTGTGTGTGTGTGTGTGTGTGTGTATTTTTAGTAGAGATGGGGTTTTGCCATTATGACCAGACTAGTCTTGAACTCCTGACCTCATGATCCTCCGGCCGTGGCCTCCCAAAGTGCTGGGATTAAAGGCGTGAGCCACCACTCCCGGCTCATTTCTTCTAGATTTTCTAGTTTATTTGCGTAGAGGTGTTTATAATATTCTCTGATAGTGGTTTGTATTTCTGTGGAATCAGTGGTGATATCCCCTTTATCGTTTTTTATTGTGTCTATTTGAATCTTCTCTCTTCCTTTTTATTAGTCAAGCTAGTGGTCAATCTATTTCATTAATATTTTCAAAAACATTGTGGAAGACAGTGTGGCAATTCCTCAAGGAACTAAAACCAGAAATACCATTTGACCCAGCAATCCCATTACTAAGTATAAACCCAAAGGATTATAAATCATTCTACTATAAAGACACATACACATGTATGTTTATTGCAGCACTGTTCACAATAGCAAAGACTTGGAAACAATCCAAATACCCATCAGTGATAGATTGGATAAAGAAAATGTGGCACATATACACCATGGAATACTATGCAGCCATAAAAAAGAATGAGTTCATGTCCTTTGCAGGGAGATGGATGAAACTGGAAACAATCATCTTCAGCAAACTAACACAGGAACAGAAAAACCAAACACTGCATGTTCTCACTCATAAGTGGGAGTTGAACAATGAGAACACATGGGCACAGGGAGGGGAACATCACACAGTGGGGCCTCTCTGGGTGTGGGAAGCAAGGGAAGGGAGAGCATTAGGACAAATGCCTAATATATGCAGGACTGAAAACCTAAATGATGGATTGATAGGTGCAGCAAACCATCATGGCACATGTATGCCTGTGTAACAAACCTACAAGTTCAGCACATGTATTTTAGAACTTAAAGTAAAATAAAAAAAAAAAAAATTTAAAAAGAGCACAAAGAAGAGTGATGGTGATAGTATTAGTTGGGCTAGTAGCAATTGATATTAATAAGTCACTTACTGTGCTGGGCCCAGTGGCTTATACCTGTAATCCCAGCACTTTGAGAGACTGAAGCAGAAGAATTTCTTGGGGCCTAGAGTTCAAGACCATCCTGGGCAACATAGCAAGACCTCATCCCTCAAAAAATATCACTTACTACATACTAAGCAATGTACTAAGCTGCTATCTTATTTTTAGTTTTCATTCTAGGTATAGATTACTTGATCCTATCACTAACATACCTTATGATTTTATTATATCAGTAGTTTATAAGTAATGGGAAAATGTCTGAAAAGAAAAGCGAAAGAAATTAGAAAGGCATTTTATTGTTCTCAACTATGAATTGTGGTATTTTTAAAACAACATCCTTATCTAATCAAGATAAATAAAAATTGTCCTATATGTAGGCACTATTATTATTTCTCATATAATGACTAATGGCTAATCATTGCAAAGGTAAATTCTAACTGAAGATTTTATAAACAACTGCTTATATGTTTATTTAAAACACTATAAGCTCATTAAGGGCAGTTTATTTTTGTCTCTACAGTACTATCACTGTGCAAATAAGGGGCTGGCAATCTTTTGATAAGGAAATAAATGGATCATGAAATGTTTTAAGGCATCAGTAGAAATTGCTAAATGAGAGAGCAAAAAGTCATGTAAAATGAAACTGTATTCATAAGGTTAGATTACTGATTAAATGGGGCCATGAAAAACCAACAATGAAAATCTGTTTTCTCCAAATGAAAGCTCAAGAGTCCATAGAAAGCGTGATCTCATTAATTCAACTGAAGTCCCTTTTAGGCAGAAATAATATCAATTGAAAATGTTGAGAAATGTTTTATTTAACTGCCTCCAGTAGAGTTCTTTTGATCCAAACTCAAAGTGCCTGAAGTCCTCAGCAATTCTTTTGGCTGTACTGGTGCCACAGAGGTCACACAATGACGTTGTAGACCCCTGTCATATACTCCTGTCTCTTGCCATAAACAGATAACTTGCAGTGGAGGAAGGTAATTAAAATATTTCTATGGTGAGGATGTAGGTGCTTAGAGAAGAGGTCTGAGGCTGCACTGCTGAAGGATTTATGAACTAAATTTGTTTGCTGTGCTGCAGCAAAAGTGACAGCATCTTCAGTTTACAACCGTGTTTTTAATTTAGACATGTTATGCATGATCAGAAACAACAGCCATTTCCTTTGCACAAGCCTTATTACTTATAAATCATGACAGTGCCATCACTGCATTAATTTGAAAGATTCAATAGATAACACTATCAAAACTACTCAATTTTTTAAAATTCTCATACCCCAAAGAAATAGGAGTAAACAAAATAGTATTTTCTATATTTTCATATAAAAATTATATGGTGATGCAGAAGTTTTTAAGGGAAAGGATATTTAGATAGCAATTTACTTTAAAAGGTATCATAATTAAAAAGTGATGATTGATGGACAGAGAGTGGAAAGATGGACAGATAAAACAAATATTGTACAGTATCAATGCTGATATCTAGGTGTCAAGTAAACTGATGTTCGCTGTAAAATTTTGTTAAATTTTTGGTATTTTTGAAAATCGTAGTACTAAAATGTTGCAAACTATAGGTTGAAATAGTTTATTACAGTTTTAAGATATATATATCTTAAATATATACATTTATATATAGTTGTAAAGTATAGGTTGAAATCATTTATTACAGTTTTAAGATATATATAATATGCATGTGTGTGTGTGTATATATATATATATATATATACCAAGCAATATTTCACAATGCCAAGAAATACCAAGCAATATTTCATGATAGCCAATTATATTTGGAAAACTGAGAGCAAACCGAGTTCATTGCCAGTATGCTCTCTGTATGTCCCTAGGTATCTGAACATTGGACTTCTTTCTGTGTTTGACTAAGATGGTAGCTCTTTGCTCTTTGTAGTGCTAACCGACTCTCCTCATCAAAGGTAAGGTGGATGCCAGGAGGCATTACAGATCCATTTATTTTAATGAGCTTCCAAGTTGATGACTGCATTTTATCTTAATCTATTAAGTACTAATCAATCCAAGTGATGATCAAATATAAAACTTGTTTTCTTTGAGTACTAACTGGTTACTAAAGTTAGTGATGACCATATACTGCCTTTGCATTTTGTGCCTACCTTTCACTCTCTTGTGATAGTATACGTAGTCATTCTAAAGGATATCACTATAGAGTTTGCAACAATTCTAGATAGTATAATATAGCAAAAAGATGAATCAAATATCTGGGAGATGGGTTGGGGTTCCATTAACAGGTAATACATGAACATTACTAAGATTATATTCTGCTTAGGACTGAAATATTGATTAGTGATGTCCTGGAGGCTCAGAACTCTAAACAAGCACTTGCTTTAGACAAGGTTGATACTTTTATTAACAGAAAATAATGATTTAAAAATAACTGTATCAAAATTTTTAGGAAAAAAAAAGGTGAGGCTTTCAGAAGTTTGGGTAATATAATTCTAAAAGCCTGTGGACAATGGAATCAGGAAGGCAATAGCTCTCCCTCACAACTCAGATCTGTGACTAGGAACAAGACCTGTACATCTTTAAGCCTCAGTTTCTCATCCATGATATTGAGATCATAGTATTATTCTACTTTTCAGACTTATTGTGAATTATCAAATGAAATCATAGATATTAAACACATTCCATAATGCCTAGAGAATAGGAAGTAATCAAAAAATGATGATCATTAAAAAATAAAAGTAAATTAAAATAGACAATGATCATTATCGTTAATACCACCTTTCAGTAATTAGTATTAGGCGGCATTTAAAACTAGATATCATTTTCTTTTTTTTTTTTTTCACTTATTCTTTTTTTATACTTTAAGTTCTAGGGTACATGTGCACAACTTGCAGGTTTGTTACATTTGTATACATGTGTCATGTTGGTGTGCTGCACCCATTAACTCGTCATTTACATTAGGTATATCTCCTAATGCTATCCCTCTCCCCTCCCCGCACCCCACGACAGGCCCCGGTGTGTGATGTTCCCCTTCCTGTGTCGAAGTGTTCTCATTGTTCAATTCCCACCTATGAGTGAGAACATGCGGTGTTTGGTTTTTTGTCCTTGCAATAGTTTGCTTAGAATGATGGTTTCCAGCTTCATCCATGTCCCTACAAAGGACATGAACTCATCATTTTTATGGCTGCATAGTATTCCATGGTGTATATGTGCCACATTTTCTTAATCCAGTCTATCATTGATGGACATTTGGGTTGGTTCCTAGTCTTTGATATTGCGAATAGTGCCTCAGTAAACATACATGTGTATGTGTCTTTATAGCAGCATGATTTATATTCCTTTGGGTATATACCCAGTAATGGGATGGCTGGGTCAAATGGTATTTCTAGTTCTAAATGATCACCATTCTAACTAGTGTGAGATGGTATCTCATTGTGGTTTTGATTTGCATTCTCTGATGGCCAGTGATGATGAGCCTTTTTTCATGTGTCTGTTGGCTGCATAAATGTCTTCTTTTGAGAAGTGTCTGTTCATATCCTTCGTCCACTTTTTGATGGGGTTGTTTGTAAGAGCTTCTGCACATCAAAAGAAACTACCATCAGAGTGAACAGGCAACCTACAGAATAGGAGAAAATTTTTGCAATCTACTCATCTGACAAAGGGCTAATATCCAGAATCCACAAATAACTCAAACAAACTTACAAGATGTCATTTTCTTTAAAAGTAACCACTGTAAGTATGATTTTGAGTTTGTAGTGGAGTAACACTATATGAATTTAGATGAGTTAGTAAAAACTGTATTTTCTTATTTTCATAAGAAAAGACTAAGAAACTTAATGGATTTGTACAGAGTTGTAAGAATAATAGTTACTACAAATAATAAGGCATCTTATTCTTCTAAGAGATAGTATTCTCTGAGAAAAACTGTTAACTAAAAAAACACAGGTAGATGAATTTGTGTTTTAAAATAAGTAATTTTAGAAACTATATTATTTGTGTTAAAAAAGAAGATACCACTTTTGTAGAAAAAATAACAGTGCAGAGATACTGTATGTTTCTGAGGCTCCTAGTATAAAAATATAAATGAATTTTTAGAAGTCAATAAGATTTCACATATGTAATCTGTTTCTTGGGAGGCTGGGGCAGGAGAATCACTTGAACCCAGGAGGCGGAGGTTGCAATAAGCTGAGCTCGCACCACGGCACTCCAGCCTGGGTAACAGAGCGAGACTCTGTCTCAAAAAATAAAAATAAATAAATAAATAAATAAAATTACAAATACTTCTGTGAATGTGAGTGGAATAAAGAATAGTATAATAAAGGTAGTGTAGATTGATATCTAATGTCCTAAAGAGAGGAATATTTTTAACCAAAATAATTGTTGCCCCTGGAGATGGAACAAATAAACTATAGCCTTTGTCTCTTAAGAAGACTCACTTAAGGATTGAGTCTTTTAAATGTACATCTTCTCACATGTTTGTAATGAGTTTGCAATGATGTATTTATGTATAGGAGTAGTAGGCAATAAAATACACTAGAATTTCATAAAATATGACTTACCACAGCATCAAAATTTATAGGATATTTATTCATATTGGATTATTCTTGGGGATTTTTTAATGATTAATGATATGTCATTGTATCATGAACCAAAATAAAATAAATGCCTGGAAAACGTTTTGAACACAAATATATGCATTAGAATAACTTGTGTGTTTTTAAATTTAGTATATGTTGGATACTAGAAAATTATATTCTCATTCTTAAATGTTAGCAAAGAAATGTAAAGGAAACAGAAAACATGTCATAAGAGTTTTTTTCTCATAATTAGAATCTATATGAATTCTATTTATATGGAATAGAATTAACATTTTATATGAAAATTCTATAGTCTATATGAATTCTAATTTATATGAATTAAATTATTATATCACACTTTCTGTGTAATAATAAAAGTTTACATCATAAAGGTATACATGATGAAAGCTGAGGTCTTGAATTAAGTGAAATATATTGTACAATGAGAAAAATAATATTTAAAATACTTTTATTTGAAGAACATTAATTTAAAAGAAATGTTTTATGTTATGCAAGTGATGCTGCTAGTCATCGACCCTTCATCTCTCCTTCTACTCATTCATTTAATCATGCATCACACAAACATATACTGAGGACTTATTTCAGGTTTGCTTTTATGTCCTGCCTGCCTGAATAAACCCAGCCTTCATTTCTGGTTTTTGATCATTTCTGTTTTTCTAGAAATGTTATGCACTGCACCATCCTTTCAAAAATTTCATCATAGGGCTTTTGTGATGTTATGATGCATCATCGTAAGCGATTCTCCAATGTTTAATGCATCCTGTATTTCCTCAAAAAGAAAAAACTGATCACATTTCAACATTCTTTGAATAAACAAAAACATTTTAAATAGTACAATTTTTATTTTGAACTTTTACACATATGTTCCTAATGAAGATTAAGCTGACTTATGATTTGTTGCATTAATTTGACCTCAGATCATGTAGCTATTCAAGATTATTAAATACAATGGAAAACATTTCAATTTTTTGTCTATTCTCTGTAATTGTGCATAATAATATGATGTGATGGTTAATACTGAGTGTCAGCTTGATTGGATTGAAGGATGCGAAGGGATCCTGGGTGTGTCTGTGAGGGTGTTACCAAAGGAGATTAACATTTGAGTCAGTCGGCTGAGAAAGGCAGACCCACCCTTAATCTGGGTGGGCACCACGGGTAATCAGCTGCCGGGGGGCTAGAATAAAGCAGACAGAAGAAGGTCGAAGCATCTGACTTGCTGAGTCTTCTGGCCTTCTTCTTTCTCCTGTGCTGGATGCTTCATGCCCTCGAACCTCAGACTCTAAGTTCTTCAGTTTGGGGACCTGAACTGTCTCTCATTGCTCCTCAGCTTGCAGACGGCCTATTGTGGGACCTTGTGACCATGTAAGTTAATACTTAATACGCTCCCCTTTATATATATATATATGTATATCCATCCTATTAGTTCTGTCCCTCTAGAGAACCCTGACTAATGCATATGATTTTATATATGTAAAGATTTCAGCTCTAGCCTCTAGAGGTCTTAGGTCCTGATGATACTTCTGAGGTTATTATTTCACTTTCAAAAGTTTTCCCATGGATAATGGCTTGCCTTCGTTGCCTAGGAAAATGTACATTTTCCTAAATGATTTTTCATTTTATCTATACTTTAAAAACATTTCTATAAAATATTACTATTCTGTGTTATTCTTAAAATCTACACAATTGTGTTTATGTTGGCAATCTCCTTTTTTTTTTTTTTTTTTTTTTGATACAGAGTCTCACTCTGTCACTCAGGCTGGAGTGCAATAGAGCAATCTTGGCTCACTGTAACCTCTGCCTCTGTGGGTAAAGTGGATGGTCCATAGATGGCTATAGCCACTGAACAGATAAGGCATTTCATTATGTATTGTAATGTAATTTGCAATTTACACTATATAAAAGTGTGTGGGAGTTTGCATGTGTGCAGTTGTTGTGCTATATCTTTGACATGGTAATGGAAAAACTGACCAAGTGTTAAAATTTACCATTGACATGAATTGTACCAGATAGATCATCTAATCTACTGATCTCTAATGATTTTGATAGAATAAGATTTAATTAAAATATTTAATGTCAGCCTGTAAATGTATTATGCTCTAGTTACATTTTATTGCAAAAGACAGGGAAATTATTAGGTTTACCAGAAACATCACGTAGAATGTCAACTTTAATTTCTTTTGTTTTCATTAGGTTAATCAGTCTTAAAGCTTATAGTTAATCACATGCTTATTTCATGATTGTACTTTTAAACAACACATTTCTAAAATTCCACATCATTAGACTATTTACTTTCTAGAGTATCTTCCATTCTTGTTACATTGGTGGACTTATTCTGCTTAAGGTTGAACATCCTTATATCATGTCTTTGAGGTCTATTTTTCAAAATACTTGGAGCCCTTGAAAAATGTAATGTGGGCATTTCATAATGCAAATTTAATACCTGTAACTTTTTTTATTGTAAGGTAAGTGGAAATGGTGTATTCCATAAGCAATAGAGATTAGTTGGCATAAAAACAATGATCAATTTAACAATTGAAATAATTTCATTAGCTTTACAGATGTAGCAAAGCAAAAGTCATTGACAGAATCTGTAATATTTGTTTTGATACTAGAATGTTGCAGTAGATTTTCAGCATCAACCAGACATGTATTTAGGTTACATAAATTGCTATTCAAGTTAGGGTTGCCAGAATTAACACATACAGATATACATTGTCCAATATTTTTCAACATGCTATGTAACACATAATTGTTTATTATGTCTCACACAATATTTAGGATATACTTATGCATTTTAATGCAAATAATTTTATTCACAACTTAAAAATAATTGTGTCTTCACTAATCACTTTTAATTGTTCTGCTCAATATACACATGCATTTTTAAACTTCTTTTTTCTTTCAATAAAAACAATGTATTTATAATTTGTTGTCTTAAAATGTTTTATAGAAATTTATTACAAAGCAAAGTTGCTTTGAATATTATAAAGACTTTAAACATATAACCTATATAAAACTCTCAAATTGCATTATTTGGAAATGTGAATTCCTCAAAATACTGCTTTTGAGATCACAGAATTAACTTAAAATGGCACAAGCATCAGGTATAATTTCATTTTTTTAAATTATGTATCTCATTTTGTTAAGTAACTTTCACAGGTCAGCCAATTGCACAGGTACAGATAGCTGTATTTACTTGTTATCATATATTTTGTAATTAGATCAACATTGGTATGCAAAGTTGATAATTATTTGCTTTTTTATGTTTCCTGTTCTCCCATAAATACAATGAGTTAGAGGAGTTACAGTTTTCTATATTTTCTATAATCAGTATTATTATGCTGTTATTTCTCTCTTATATGTGAAATTTAAATATCCTCAATAATGACTTCTATTTCAAGAAATATGGTGTCAGTGTTGGTAAAAAGCAAGAATGGGTTACAAAATGTACAGTCAATCTTAGAATTCCAATAATTTCCAACAGTGGAAATAAATTATTTGCTAGCACCAGCAAGCTGGATAGTTGATGGCAAAGACACAGACTAGCAAAAATTAGTTGAGAAAACACAGGTTCAAATTAAGTTAAAAAAATTACTAACAATCACACAGTACACACACAGCATGGTGATCCCTGGTTTACAAATGTATCCACACTTAGTAAAGCTACACTGTTCTCCACTGTATCCAGCTATGAGGTCTGATTCCCTAGAAAAGTAGTCAGACCCATATGTCAAGTTTTAAGAGAGAGAGGCAATTGCTATTTTTGACAATCCTTGTAAAGTATAGAAAGTTATTATTGACAACAGTTGTAATATTTAATTATTTCACAAACATAAGGTCTTCTCTATGCCTAAAAAATCATGAGTTTTTCAAACTCTGTTTTTACCATATATATTTTGTATTTTTCCATAAGTTATTGAGGTGCAGGTGGTATTTGGTTACATGAGTAAGTTCTTTAGCAGTGACTTGTGAGATTTTTGTGCACCCATCACCTGAGCCATATACACTGCACCATATTTGTTGTCTTTTATCCCTCGCCCCCCTCCCACTCTTCCCCTCAAGTCCCCAAAGTCCATTGTATCATTCTTATGCCTTTGTGTCCTGATAACTTAGCTCCCACATATCAGTGAGAACATGCGATGTTTGGTTTTCCATTCCATAGTTACTTCACTTAGCATAAGTCTCCAGTCTCATCCAGGTCACTGAAAATGCTATTAATTCATTTATTTTTTATGGCTGCATAGTATTCCATCATATATATATGATGTGTATATAAATATGATATATATGATGTGTATATATATCCATCATATATATGATTTCTTTATCCACTCGTTGAGTGATGGGCATTTGGGTTGGTTCCACGATTTTGCTGTTGTGAATTATGCCACTCTAAACATGCGTGTGCAAGTATCTTTTTCGAAGAATGACTTCTTTTCTTCTGGGTAGATACCCGGTAGTGGGATTGCTGGATCAAATGGTAGCTCTACTTTTAGTTATTTAAGGAATCTCCACACTGTTTTCCATAGTGGCTGTACTAATTTACATGCCCACCAGCAGTGTAGAAGTGTTCCATGTTCACTGCATCCATGCCAACATCTACTGTTTTTTGATTTATTGATTATGTCCATTCTTGCAGGAGTAAGGGTATTGCATTGTGGTTTCGATTTGAATTTCCCTGATCATTAGTGATTTTGATCATTTTTCCATATTTTTGTTGGCCATTTGTATATCTTCTTTTGAGAATTGTCTGGTCACCTCCTTAGCCCACTTTTTGATGGGATTTTTGTTTGTTTGTTTGTTTTTTCTTACTGCTTTGTTTGAGTTCATTGTAGATTGTGGATATTAGTCCCGTGTCAGATGCAGAGTTTATGAATATTTTCCCCCACTTTGTGGATTGTTCGTTCAGTTTGAAGACTGTTCCTTTTGCCATGTGAAAGCTCTTTAGTTTAATTAGGTGCCAGGTATTCATCTTTGTTTTATTGCATTTGCTTGTAGATTGCTTTTAGCAGTATGGTGATTTGAAGTCAGGTAGTGTGATGCCTCCAGATCTGACCTTTTTGCTTAGTTTTGCTTTGGCTATGCAGGATCTTTTTTGGTTCCATACGAATTACAGAATTGTTTTTTCTAATTCTGTGAAGAATGCTGATGGTATTTTGATGGGGATTGTGTTTAATTTATAGATTGCTTTGGCAGTATGGCCATTTTCACAATATTGATTCTACCCATCCATGAGCATGGGATGTGTTTCCATTTGTTTGTCTACGATTTCTTTCAAAAGCATTTTTTTTCAGCTATTGTAAAAGAGGTTGAGTTCTTGTTTTGATTCTCTCCTTGGTTGCTGTTGGTGTATAGAAGAGCTACTGATTTGTGTACATTAATCTTGTATCTGGAAACTTTGCTGAATTCTTTTATGAGTTCAAGGAGCCTTCTGGAGGAGTCCTTAGGGTTTTCAAAATAAATGAGCATATCGTCAGCGAACAGTGACAGTTTGGCTTCCTCTATACCAATTTGGATGCCCTCTATTTCCTTCTCTTGTCTGATTGCTCTAGCTAGGACTTACAATATTATGTTGAAGAGGAGTTGTGAGAGTGGGCATCCTTGTCTTGTTCCAGTTTTTAGAGGGAATGCTTTCAACTATTCCCCGTTCAATAGTATTTTGGCTGTGGGCTTGTCATAGATGGCTTTTATTATATTAAGGTAAGTCCCTTGTGTGCTGATTTTGCTGAGAGTTTTAATCATAAAGGGATGCTGGATTTTGTCGAATGCTTTTTCTGCACCTATTGAGATGATCATGTGATTTTTGTTTTGAATTCTATTTATGTGGTGTATCACATTTATAGACTTCCATATGTTAAACCATACATGCATCCCTGGTGTGAAACCCACTTGATCATGATGAAGTATCTTTTTCTTTTTTTTTTTTTGAGACAGAGTATCACTCTGTCACCCAGGCTGGAGTGTAGTGGCGCTATCTCTGTTCACTGAAAGCTCTGACTCCCAGGTTCATGCCATTCTCCTGCCTCAGCCTCGTGAATAGCTGGGACTACAGGCACCCGCCACCATGCCCGGCTAGTTTTTCCTATGTTTTAGTAGAGACGGGGTTACACCGTGTTAGCCAGGATGGTCTTGATCCCCTGACCTCGTGATCTGCCCGCCTCAGCCATCCCAAAGTGGTAGGATTACAGGTGTGAGCCACCGCACCCGGCCTGGAGTATCTTTTTGTATGTTGTTAGATTCGGTTAGCTAGTATTTTGTTAGGGATTTTAGCATCAGTGTTCATCAAGGATACTGGTCGGTAGTTTTCTTTTTTGGTTATGTCCTTTCCTGATTTTGGTATTAGGGTGATGCTGGCTTCATAAAATGAGTTAGGGAGGGTTCCTTCTTTATCTTGTGGAATAGCGTCAAATGGTTGGTACCAATTCTTCTTTGAAGGTCTGGTAGAATTCTGCTGTGAATCCATCTGGCCTTGGACTTTTGTGTTGATAATTTTTTAATTACCATTTCAATCTCGCTGCTTGTTATTGGTCTGTTCAGGTTATCTAATTCTTCTTGATTTACCCTAGGAAGGTTGTATTTTTCAAGGAATTTATCCATCTCTTCTAGGTTTTCTAGTGCCTAAAGGTATTCATAGTAGCCTTGAATGAACTTCTGTATTTCAGCAGTGTCACTTGTGATATCTCCTGTTTCATTTCTCAGTGAAGTTATTTGGATTTTCTCCCTTCTTTTCTTGGTTAATCTTCCTAATGGTCTATCGATTTAACGTATCTTTCCAACAAACAAGCTTTTTGTTTTATTTATGTTTTGTATATTTTTGTTTCAATTTCCTTTAGTTCTGCTCTGATCTTGATAATTTCCTTTCTTCTTCTGGGCTTGGGTTTGGTTTGTTCTTGTTTCTCTAGTTCCTTGAGGTGTGACCTTAGAATGTTAGTTTATGCTCTTTGTTTTTTCTTTAAGCTATCTATTCCCTTGAATATTTCTCCTATCACTTCTTGTATCATTTTTTTGGATTTCCTTGCATTGGGCTTCTCTTTTCTCTGGTACCTTCCTGATTAGCTTAATAACTAACCTCCTAAATTCCTTTTCTGGTAAATCAGGGATTTCTTCTTGGTTTGGATCCATTGCTGGTGAACTAGTGTGATTTTTCCGAGGTGTTAAAGAGCCTTGTTTTGTCATATTACCAGGCCTGGTTTAATGGTTCCTTCTCATTTGTGTAGGCCCTGTCAGAGGGAAGGCCAAGGGCTGAAGGCTGTTATTTAGATTCTTTTGTCTCACGGGGTGTTCCCTCAATGAGGTACTCTCCCCGTTTTTTATGGATGTGGCTTCCTGTGGACCAAACTGCAGTGATTGTTGTCTCTCTTCTGGGTCTAGCCACCCAGTGAGTCTACCTGGCTCCGGGCTGGTACTGGGGTTTGTCTGCACAGAGTCCGGTGATGTGAACCGTCTATGGATCTCTCAGCCGTGGATAACAGCACTTGTTCTGGTGGGGGTGGAGTATTTAGGGTGTCTCCCAGGTCCTGCAGGAGCATTCCCCTTCCTTCATAGGGTCTGTGGGTTCTCTCGAGATTGCTGGTTTGTTCTTGCAGTTGATCTGGAGCTAAAATTCACAATGCAAGCTTCCGCAAGCTGCTGTGTCCACACCTGCAATCTAGTCCTGCCTCCCATCTGCCATGATGATCCCCTCCCAAACTCAGTTTTTCAAAAAATGACTTTAATCAGTTGAGTCACTGACAAGTAAATGATCTTAATCACCAACATCCCACACAGCAAACAGTAAGAAAGTGAAGGGAAGGTAAGAGGAATGAAGGGGAGATAAGGTAAGGTAAGATAATGTAAGGTAAAAAGTAAAGTTAAAGTACAGAAAAGTGATTTTTCCTTTATTTTTTAGAGATGGTCAACAGAAAAGGGAATACTTTGCTTTACTTTGCATTTTCATGAAGGGATAGTCACGTATTTTCTATTAAAAATTTATTTTTCTAAGACTTTGTTAGCTTGATATATTTCCCGTAGTTGAGAAATTAGAGCACATTCAATCAAACAAAACAATGAATAGAAAAGTAGTAAAATCACGAAATACTAAATTAGCAAAGTGATTAATGAAATGGTAGATCACCCTTTCCCCTCTAGTACAACTTTCTTAAAGAGAAATCTTTTAAAAATAAATGCTAGAGACTTTTGAAATAGCCTTTAAACTGGTAAATATTTAACACAACAAAATTAATAAGCATGAGTAGGATCCTATAATACTACAAAATGTTATTATAAACAGTAATAATTAAAGATTAAATAACAAACGCTGTGATGTGGTCAGAATTTATAATTAAAATTATAATTAACTAGACATGATGATATTATAAGTCTTCTCAACCTCTATATATTAACCATGAAGAAAACAACGTGAATGCTATTGGATTCATTAAAAAAAAAAAGGACGCATTTTAAAAGCAGGTTTAGGTGCACAAAAAAATGAAGTAGGAAATATAGAGTTTTCCTATGTCCCTTTATTTACCTTGCCCTCACCCTGCAGTGTTCTCCATTAATAACATTCTGTGTTAGGATGGTACTTTTTTTATACAATTGATAAGCCAATACTGATACATTATTATCAACTATAGTCCATAGTTTACATTATGGTTCACTGTTTGTGTGAAGTTAACAACAGTGCTAACTATGTGCATATATTCTATGGGTTTTAACAAATATGGAATGATATGTACCCACTATTCCAGTATCATATAGGACAGTTTCACCTCCCTCAACCTGGAACCTTAGCAACCACTGATCATTTCACTGTCTTCGTACTTTAGCCTCTTCCAGAAAGTCATATAATTAAAATTATACAGTATGTAGCACTTACAGATCAGTTTATATCACTTAGCAATGTGCATTTAAGGTTTTCCCATGTCTTTTCAGGCTAGAGAACTTTTTTTTTTTATATATACTTTAAGTTCTGGGCTACATGTGCAGAACATACAGTTTCAGTACATAAGTATACATGTGCCATGGTGGTTTGCTACATCCATCAACCCGTCATCTACATTCGGGATTTCTCCTAATGCTATCTCTCCTCCAGGCCCCCACCCCCCAAGAGGCCATGGTGTGTGATGCCCGCCACCCCCCACAGTGTCCATGTGTTCTCATTGTTCAGCTGTCACTTATGAATGAGAACATGCAGTGTTTGGTTTTCTGTTCTTGTGTTAGTTTGCTGAGAATGAGGGTTTCCAGCTTCATCCATGTCCCTGCAAAGGACATGAACTCATCCTTTTTTATGGATGCATAGTAATCCATGGCGTATATGTGCCACATTTTCTTATCCAGTCTATCATTGATGGGTATTTGGGTTGGTTGCAAGTCTTTGCTATTGTGAATAGTGCCTCAATAAACATACTGCGCATGTGTCTTTATGGTAGAATGGTTTATAATCCTTTGGGTATATACCCTGTAATGCGATCGCTGGGTCAAATGGTATTTCTAGTTCTAGATACTTGGGGAATTGCCACACTGTCTTCCACAATGGTTGAACTAATTTACACTACCATCAACAGTGTAAAAGTGTCCCTATTTCTCAACATCCTCTCCAGCATCTGTTGTTTCCTGACTTTTTAATGATCATCATTCTCACTGGCATGAGATGGTATCTCACTGGTTTTGATTTGCATTTCTCTAATGACCAGTGATGATGAGGTTTTTTCATATGTTTGTTGGCTGCATAAATGTCTTCTTTTCAGAAGTGTCTGTTCATATACTTTGCCCACTTTTTGATGGGGTTGTTTGTTTTTTTCTTGTACATTTGTTTAAGTTCTTTGTAGATTCTGGATGTTAGCCCTGCCAGATGCCAGCCAGAGCTCTCCTGTAAGAGGTGTTTGTCATCCCCTTCTGGGAGGTGTCTCCTAGTCAGGATACGTGGGGTCAGGGACCCACTTGAAGAGGCAGCCTGTCCCTTATTAGGGCTTGAATGCTGTGCTGGGAGAACCACTGCTCTCTTCAGATCTGTCAGGCAGGTATGTTTAAGTCTGCAGGTATGTTTAAGTCTACTGGAGCTGTGCCCACAGCCACCCTTTCCCCCAGGTGCTCTGTGCCAGAGACATGGCGGTTTTATCTATAAGTCCTTGACTGGGGTTGCTGCCTTTTGTAAAGAGATGCCCTGCCCAGAGAGGAGGAATCTAGAGGAGCAGTCTGACTGCAGAGGCCTTGCTAAGCCGCGGTGGGCTCCGTCCAGTTCAAACTTCCAGGGGGCTTTGTTTACACTGAGAGGGTAAAACCGTCTACTCAAACCTCAGCAATGGCGGTTGCCCCTCCCTCCACCAAGCTTGAGCATCCCAGGTTGACCTCAGACTGCTGTGCTAGCAGCAAGAACTTCAAGGCAGTGGATCTTAGCTTGCCGGGCTTTGTGGGGGTGGGACCTGCAGAGCCAGACCACTTGGCTCCCTGGCTTCAGCCCCTTTTCTACAGGAGTAAATGGTTCTGTCTCGCTGGCATTTCAGGTGCCACTGGGGTATGAAAAAAATAAAGTTCTGCAGCTAGCTTGGTATCTGACCAAATGGCCACCCAGTTTTGTGCTTGAAACCCAGGGCCCTGGTGGCATAGGCACCAGAGAGAATCTCCTGTTCTGCCAGTTGTGAAGACTGTGGAAAAAGTGCAGTATCTGGGCTGGAGTGCACCACTCCTCCCAGTACAGTCTCTCATGGCTTCTCTTGGCTAGGGGAGGGAAAGCCCCTGACCCCTTGGGTTTCCCAGGTGAGGCGACACCCCACCCTGGTTTGGCTCACCCTCCGTGGGCCGCACCCACTCTCCAACCATTCCCAATGAGATGAATGGGGTACCACAGTTGGAAATGCAGAGATCACCTACCTTCTGCATCAGTCTCACTGGGAGCTGCAGACTGAAGCTGTTTGGCCATCTTGCCAGCAAAAACTTGTTTCTTTTAACTGCTAAACAATATTATAATATTTAAATGTATGGATTACTAGGCTGTCTATTTATGTATTAGAAGATATCTTAATTGCTTTCTGGTTTGTGTAATTAAACATAAAGCTTCTGTAAGCATTCCTGTGCAGGTTTCTGTATGAACATAGGTTTTAAAATCATTTGGGTAAATACCAAGGAGCACAACTGCCAGATCATTTGGTACAAGTATGTTTAGTTTTATAAGAAGGTGCTAAAGTGTCTTCCAAAGTGGCAACACCATTTTGCAATTGGCTTTACTTTTTAGTGTAATTTAAAATATTTTCTTGTTATGTGATCATACCATCAGTGAACGGTGACAGTTTGACTTCGTCTTTAGCAATTTGGATGCCCATTACTTTTTTCTCTTATCTGCTTGTTCTGGCTATGATTTGCAGTACTGTGTTGAATAGAAATTATGAAAGTGGACATCCTTGTCTTATTCCAGTTTTCAGGGTGGAATGCTTTCAACTTTTCCCTGTTCAGTATAATGTTGGCTGTGGGATTGTCATATATGGCTCTTATTTCCTTAAGGTATTTTTCTTCTATGTTGATTTTGCTGAGGGTTTTAATCATAAAGAAATGCTGGATTTTGTCCAGTGTTTTTTTCTGTACCTATTGAGATGATCATATAGTTTTTGTTTTTAATTCTGTTTATGTGGTGTGTCACGTTTATTGACTCATGTGTGTTAAACCAACTGTGCATCCCTGGAATGAAACCCACTTAATTATGATGTATTATCTATTTGATGTGTTGTTGGATTTGGTCATCTAGTATTTTGTTGAGGATTTTTGCATCTATGTTCATCAGAGATATTGGTCTGTAAAGACTCCTAAAAAGCTCCTAGATCTGATAAATGAATTCAGTAAAGTTTCAGAATACAAAATCAATGTACACAAATCAATAGCATTGCTATGCACCAACAACATCCAAGCTGAGAATCCAATCAAGAACTCAATCACTTTTACAACAGCTGCAAAAACAAACAAAAATACTTAGAAATATACCTAACTAAGGGGGTAAAAGGCCTTAAAAATGAAAACTACAAAACACTCCTGAAAAAAAAAAATCATAGGTGACACAAACACATAGAAACAAATCCCATGCTCATGGATGGATAGAATCAATATTGTAAAAACGATCATACTGCTGAAAGCAATCTACACATTCAATGCAATTCCAATCAAAATACCACCAGCATTCTCCACAGAACTAGAAACATCAGTCCTAAAATTCATGGAAAACAAAAAAAGAGCTCACATAGCAAAAGCAGGACTAAGAAAAAAGTTGGAGGCATCACATTACCCAACTTCAAACTATACTATAAGCCTATAGTTATTGAAACAGCATGGTACTAGTATAAAAATAAGCACATAGACCAATGGACCAGAATAGAGAATGCAGAAATATAGCTAAATACGTACGGCCAACTGATCTTTGACAAAGCAGACAAAAACATAAAGTGGGGGAAAGGACACTCTGTTATACAAATGGTGCTGAGATAATTGTCAAAGCACATGTAGAAGAATAAAACTGGATCTTTATCTCTCACCTTATACAAAAGTCAACTCAAGTTGGATCAAAGATTTACACCTAAGACCTGAAGCCATAAAAAAAAAAATTCTAGAAGATGACATCAGAAAAACCCTCTAGACTTTGGCTTAGGCAAAGGCAAAGACTTCATGACCAAGAACCCAAAAGCAAATACAACAAAAGCAAAGATAAATTGATGCGACTTAATTAAACCAAAAGACTTCTGCACAGCAAAAGAAACAATCAGCAGAGTAAACAGACAACCCACAGAGTGGGAGAAAATATTCATAAACTATGCATCTGACATGGGACTAACATCCAGCATCTACATGGAACTCAAACAAATCGGCAAGAAAAAAAAACAAATAATCCCATCAAAAAGTGGGCAAAGGAAATGAATAGACTATTGTCAGAAGAAGATATACAAATGGCCAACAAACATATAAAAAGGTGCTCAATATCACTAATTATCAGGAAAATGCAAATCAGAACCACAATGGGATATAACCTTACTCCTACAAGAATGGACACAATTTAAAAATAAGAAAATAACAGATGTTGGCATGGATATGGTGAAAAGGGAACGCTTTTACACTGCTGGTGAAAATGTAAACTTGTACAACCATTTTAAAAAATAGTAGGGAGATTCCTTAAATAACTGAAAAGTCGATCTACCATTTGATCCAGCAATTCCACTATTGGGTATCTACCCAGAGGAAAAGAAGTCATTATATGTAAAAGACACTTGCACAGGCATGTTTATAGCAGCATAATTTGCAATTGCAAACGTATGGAACAAGCCCAAATGCCCATCAACCAAAGAAAATGTTTTATATATATATATAAAATATATAACATTTATATATAATATTTATATGTTATATATAATAAATATATAAATTTATATATAAATGTTATATATACATACACACACACACACACACATACACACACACATATATATATTATATATAGAGAGAGTTCCCTGTAACTTGCACAGCTTGCTTACTTTCCTGTGGTCTCTGCTTCTTATTCTTCATGTGCTCGTGGTTTATTCTGAGGGAGACATCTAATATTAAGTTATATGCAACTCTATTGTATAGATAGATGTATATATAATGGAATACTAAGCCATAAAAATAAACAAAATAATGGCATTCACAGCAACCTGGACAGAGTTGGAGACCGTTATTTTAAATGAAGTATTTCAGGAATGGAAAACTAAACATCGTATGTTCTTACTTATAAGTGGGAACTAAGCTATGAGGATGCAAAGGTATTAGCATGATAAAATGAACTCTGAGTATTCAGGGAGAAGGGTGGCAGAGAAGTGAGGGATAAAAAGATTACATACTGAGTACAGTGTACACTGCTCAGATGATTGGTATATCAAAATCTTAGAAATCACCACCAAACACCACCTGTTCCCTGAAACTATTGAGATTTTTTTTTTAAAAAAAGAAAGAACCATCAAATAAAAAATAAAAAAAAATAAGTTATCTTCTTAACGTGAATTGGATTGAAAAATCTAAACAAAGAGAAACGAGAAGAGATAGTAAAAATGCTTAGGGAATTAGCTAAATGACAAAATTTTAGGATTAATACCCACAGTTCACTAGCTGTGTTACCATAGGTAAGATTACTGAACTTTTCAGAGTCTCTTTTCTTTCTCATAAAGCAGTAACTATAAAGCCTACCAAATTTCTAGGTTGAAGTACTTTCACCAGGGCCACCCCTAATTCCCCCTCCTCCCAATGAATAGTGAACGTTAAATAACAAAATATTGTCTCCACAGTATCTTAATAAGGGACACAAGGTCATTGATTTTATCATTAATTTATAGTTAACTTCATTCAAAATGATTCCATTTTGAAAAAAATAAGATACTAACAGCTTAATAACTTTAATACTAAATATATAAGGCTTTGGCTTTAAACTGACATATCCTACACTGCTGTAATATATTGTCATGATTGAGTTATATATTATTACCTATAAGAGATAGAATATGGCTAGATAAAACATGTTTTTTTCTCCATCAATTTCAAGATTTTTCAGGATATGTAGAATTTAAGTATTTGGTAAATATTATAAAATATATGGCTAAATTTAAGTTTTAACTTTGTGTCTGATCCATTTATTTTCCATTGTCAACCCAAAACACAAATATTAAATATGAATGTGAACACAAATGATAACTCAATTCACTGTCATTGGTCATGGTCACCTTCAGGCATGTACCTCTGCTATTCCATTTTTTTTTAATTTTCTGCATTTCATAGGCTGCTTTCATTATTAGCACATTTTTCTCTGTATGTCGGATCATAGTGCTTTCTTGTTCCTCTCTAATTAATGATAAATGGAGACCTCTCAAGTTAGATGAGACTCCTGCCTCCCTAACTGGAGTTTCTTAGGAGTATAGCAAAAACCGCTTAAGAATGACTCGAATCAAACCTTGCTACTCCCATATAAGCAGTTTCCATTCAAACCCCCCATTTGAAGAGTAAGGATTGAGCACTAAAAAAAAGTAAATGTAGGTACTGAGAATTCCTGTATGACCCTCATCTCTAATCCACATCCCTCTCAAAAATGAACATTGACATTTTATGGCTTCCTTGTCTGTGCATGAGACTTCTACACCATGCCATCTGTCTTTCCCAATGCTCTACTGAATATTTGGTCTAATATATTGTATGATGAAGCAAAATAGAAAATAACGTACTCAATTTTTTTCCTATTTTCTCAAAACTATGTACGATGTGGTAATTTCTGACTGCCCATTCGTTCCCTCTCCTCATGGCTCCAGATTCTACTAAACACTTGCAAAATCTTCAGTGGAGGAATCTTCGGAATCTTCAGAATCTCCACTGAAGATTCTGCAAGCCTTTAGTAGAATTTGTTTTTCTTTTGGAAGGTGGCATAACTTTTCCTCTATTCCTGATTAATTCCTCGTGCATTTTCTCCACAAAGATTCATATATATGTTAATTTTCTCCACAAAGATCCATATACGTGTATTCACACATATATATAAACATACACACACATATACACACACATATATATACACACACATATATACACATGTATATGCACATACATATATACACATATACATCTATATATACACATATATACACAGATATATATATTTACACACATATATAATAGTTGTATATCTGTTATAATTAATATACCATATAGGACCTCTGAGCTTTTCAGAGATTTATAAAATGTGGTCAGAAAAATTCCAAGATGTGGGCCAATTCAAATTGTTCCCTGTAAGTTGCACAGCTTGCTTACTTTCCTTTGGTCTCTGCTTCTTATTCTTCATGTGCTCATGGTGTATTCTGAGAAAGACATCTAACATGAAATTACATGCAACTCTATTTTTTTCTAAGAAGTCTACCCATAATTATGTCTATAATTATGGGTAACATTGGTAAATATTTCTGGGGTGTTCAGCATAGGAATGTTTTCATGCATCCATAGGTCTTTGCCATCTCTTCAGTGCTCTGACACTCAGATTCATTGTTTCCATGACCATCTTCACTGTTACGACCTTGTAGTCATTGCACAATCCTTTGGCAATCTGGGCACAAATCTCATCCCAAGGGCATAGTTGGTTGCCTGCCAAAAATCAATTTCCTAGTCCACGTTCCTTCACAGACCCTGGTGGTGTTCAGGCATCCTCCTCTCCTCCTTGTAACCTTGTCATTGGTTCAGAGATGAGCATCCTTAAGCTCATTTAATGAAGGAGCAGATTGTTGAGAGCATCTGTGAAAGGACCTGTCTGGCTCTCAACCAGGAGTCACAAGAAATCAAATTTTGTTCAGCTGAGCATAAATTTCCCACCATAAGTAGATAGCAGAAGCACAAGACAAATAGAATCTAGCTTGAGGGAAATATGGAGGAAAATGACCAGCTAAATGTAAATCTTAACTTACTTTTGGACTTCTTTTTTTTTTTAAGAGCCATTTTTTTTCCCCTGATTTTTGAGCACACTTGAGTTTAGAAACCTAAAATATCCCAAAATGTATATCTGCCATTAACTATTTAGTAGTGCATTGTTGAGTTTACCAAAGGCATGGATATAACTCTTTTGGAGTGTCAGCATTCTAAAATCAATATCCCAAAAGGCCTGTAAACACCTGAAGATTCTTGGCTTAGCACGAATAATTGAAAGTATGGAAGAAAGTGAGAGCTGTTTAAATATTTCAAAGCCATTCCAAAGAGATGCTCTCTTAGTCTGCTTAGGTTGCCATAACGAAATACCATGAACTGGTGGCATAAGCAACTGAAATCGCTTTTCTCACAGTTCTGGAGACTGGAAGTTCAAAATTAAGGTGGCAACAGGACCAGGGCCTGTTGAGTGGTTTCTCTTTGGGTTGTGAATTGTTGACTGTCACTATGTCTTCACGTGGCTTTTTCTCGATGTATTTGCTCAGAAAGAGAAAACTCTGCTGTCTCTTCCTCATCTTATGAGGGCCTTAATCTCATCATAACAGCCCCATCCTCATGACCTCATCTAACTCCATTACTTTCTAAAGACTCTGTCTCCAAATATCATCACATGAATATTAAGGCTTTAATGTATGAATTTTGGAGAAACACAATTCAGGCCATAGCAGGTGCTTTCTGTTGGTCCAGGCAATCTAAATTTACTAATGTCTTTAGTCACTCCAGTTTATCATTTGTTGTTGATTGATTACAAAAATGGCAGCAAGCTTTTATCTCTCTTTGTATCCAGTCTCTGCATTATGACTTTGCACCTTCTCCAGACAACTATAGTCTGTGTCCCCACCTTTTGATTCTGGGATAACATTTTACCAATAAATGCGGCAGAATTGAGAATGTGTCATCCATGAGCTTAGGCTTCAAACAGCTTTCTTGTTTCTGTTGTTGCTTTTGGAGCCCTGTCAATGTCATGAGCGATGTTCGCCCCACAAGGTTAATTACAACAGAGCAGATACCAGTAGTCTCAGTACAGACTGACTTCCACTAACCTATTGTTAACTGAGTTCTCAGATATATAAGCATAGATCAGCCAGATTTGGCTCAATCATGAGAAATAATAAATAATTATTGTTTTAATCTGCTGAGTTTTGATGTGGTTTTTACTCAACAATAGCTGATTGATGGAGTATGTCTTATTGATTCCCCCCATATGTATACTTCTTCCAAAAGTTATTGTAGGGAGTCATTACATACTGAAATTACAGAACTACATTTATGTATTATCATGTTTACTATGGCTAATCAACCTATAAATTATAGGTAAACTTAATGCATTCTAAATTATTCTTATTAACAAGATGTATTATACTATATTATATATTAAGTTATTAGATACGTCTAATTGCATGTTGTATAGAAAGATTTTTTTCATACTTTATGTTCATCTCCACTTGACTTCTTTGTAGTTAAGTTTTTTTCTGTCTGGAAGCTTATTTTTTTGTCTTTAACTTCCTTAACATTAACATCGATAATGTAGAGGCAGTTTTGTTTGTTTTATTTTAATCCATTGTCTTTTCATCATTTTTATTTAATCATTAAAAATTATTGACTATTATTTCTTTAAGTTTTAATTCTGAGACTAGCAAAACATGGGATGTGTCAACACTACTTCTCTATGTCTTCTTACTTTACTATGATAGTATCAATCATTATACCTTCTCAATACTTTCTAGATGGTTTTTCCAACTGGACATTCCAGTTCATTATTCACCTCCCCTTCCATGTTCTCTCTACCATCATCTTATTATTTTTTTCATGTTACCGTATTCACCGATATCAGTGAAGGATGATTTGCTCTTAATTAAGATTTTGCTGAACAAAGATGCAGTGAAGGGAGATGCAGTCAGGGACATCTTTTCCAAGCCACCTCCGAGCCTGAAGCTTATACAATTAAAAAATATATGGAGAATAAATACACATATTTTACCTTTATGAATTTATTGCACACGAATGGTCATGAGAAGACTTTGCTAACGTCGCATCCGGGTCTTTGGAAAGCACCCGTGCAAATGAGGAATATACTAGCCTAAACTTTGGTAAGTTGATGTCTCTGAATAGAACTTGAGGCTTCTATTTTTCCTCTATGACTGACTCTAAGCATGTCATGCCTGAAAGTTTACTCACAGTTTTGTTCTGAATGCTGAGTAAGGCCCTGCGTTCATCCCACTTCTGTATCTCTAGGCAGCACGTTAGTATTCCATTCTGAACTGATGAGAAATTGAATCCATGGGGTGCTTTGCAGACAGCATGTAGCTGAAGAAAACAATAGTTTTCTTTCCTTGGTTTCCCTTTGCCAATAAGGATTATTTCCTTGCTGAAACAATGTTGCTAATGATGTTGTTCTGTGTAGCCTATGTATTTTGGAGTAGAAAAATAATGTAAGACCCCCTGGGGTGAAATTTTCCTGCACTGAGGTCAATAAATAAATAAGTAAACCTGACAAACATACATTAGTGTACAAACACTAATGCTTTACTGAAACTGAAAAGAGTCTCTCCAAAGACTTTAAAGGTGCTGATATTTAACAGATAACAAAACTATTTGTTAAAATTTCAGAAGAGGCAGTAAGAGTGAGCTATTTTCTGATTAATTAACCCTATCTAAAATATAAAATCCAGACTGAAACAACAAATCCAGGGTTACCATATTCAAAATGAAATTTTGCTCTGGCTTAACACTCTTAACATCATATAGAATATAAAATTATCTTATCTGTTTTTACTTACAAGCATTTGCTCGCACATATTGATATACATATCTGGGGAAATTACACCACCAAAACCTTCCACATATAGAGTAACTACTTTTATAATGAAATGATAAATCATATAGTATTTCCATTTTAATTACAGAAAAGTTTCTGGGGATGTGTTGCCATGGCTAGAAATGCAACGTCATCTAAGGCATAAAACTATAATCATTTCACATCTTCTCTGGGTCACCATAAGATTTTCTGTATATTATTGAATCTTTGTGCAGACAACAATCTTGGTGCAAATTAAACCCCGGGGATAAGTAGAAGGGACACTAACATCGCTCACCTGAATGATGCAAAGCACCGGTGACATTGTGGACAGTATTTAGGTAAGGATGTTTTTTTCCATCCTTGTTTTTATAAACGAAAACATTTCCATCTTTCCGTCTTTGTGAATTGATACATATTGATTGTACATATTTAAGGGGTTCATGTGATGTTTCGACGCATGCATACAATGCATAATGGCCAAATCGTGTTAATTAGTATATCCACTACCTCCAACATTTATTTCGTGTGTATGTGTTGGGGACATTTTAAGTCTTTTCTTCTAAATATTTTGAAATAGGCAATAAATTATTGCTAAGTATAATCACTCTTGTGTGCTATTGAACACTAGAACTTATCGCTTCTATATAACTCTATATGTGCACCCATTAGCCAATATCTATCTTCATCCTGCCTCCTTCCCAGCCTCTGTTAACCATCATTCTACTCTCTACCTTCCTGAGATCAGACTTTTTAGCTCCCACAAATGAGTGAGAATATGCAATATTTGTCTTTCTATGCTTGGCTTGTTTCACTTAACATAAGGACCTATTGTTTCATTCATGTTTCTGCAAATAACATGATTTGATTCTTTTTATGGCTCTGTAGTATTCCTTTGTGTATATATACCATATTTTCTTTATCCATTTATTTGTTAATGAACACTTATGAGCCACAATTTTTTTAATGAGTGATTTAGATGACTTGCATCAAAACTACTTGGAGTGTTTACTTTTACAAAACCACATTGAGTCTTGATATAGACACGGTAAATCAGAATATCTGAATGTAAGATTTACAAGTTAACTTTTAAACATTTTTTAGTATTTTATATGTGTATATACGTGTGTGTGTATGTATATATATATGTGTGTGTGTGTGTATATATATATATATGGGAAAACTATGAACCCTAGAATATGAGTCCTTGAATATGAGTCACTAATGTATGTATGTGTGTACATATGTATATATACCGTTTCTATAATTAAATATTTGTCTTTGAGAATTATGTAAATATAAATGTGTGCAAGCAGGTTTGGTTCACTATTTTCTTACTAAAAAGTCACAAAAATACCCATTCATTTTTATTATAAAAGGTATTAATATCTCAAAGAAGACTGTATGTCAGGATATCAAAGCTGACTCTTAATTTTTCTTTTATTCTTAAATTTTTGGACTTTGGGAGACAAATAAAATTTCTGTGTTCTAGAGTTTTAAAAATGAGGAACACTTCTAATTCCACCTACTCAGGTGGCTGAGGCATGAGAATTACTTGAATCCTGGAGGCAAAGGTTGCAGTGAGGCTAGATTACACCACTAAACTCCACCATAGGCAACAGAGCAATATTGTCTCAAAAAAAAAAAAAATGAGGAAGGTCAGTTTAGAATCTAAATCAGACAGGTCTCTGTAGATAGGGATAGAAAGGACAGGTATATACTACCAAAGTTCCAGGATGATAATATGGTATTTTCTTGGAGGATACTAGAAACTTGATAATAGTGGAGAAATGCTAAGAACAGAGTTTTGCTCAGAAGGACTCATATTCAAGGGTTCATGATTTTCCCTTCATTTTTTCCTCTTTTGTCCTTTTGGACATTTCTAGAAAGATATACATATATAGATATGGATAGATAATTTTCCTGTTTGTCATTCTACTTTCTTTTAATAATTCTTAACTGTTCAAAATGTTTTAGATTTCTGTGTTTCCTTATTATTTAAACTCAAGTGATGGAGTGGCAGAAAAAACCAACTCTTCCATTATGTACTTCAGTACACTCTTGTACTGCAGTGTGTGCAGGCATGGGGCAATACACTTTCCAGGGGATTTATAAGACAGTATAAAATAAATAGCAACCAAACCAAATTAGCAGTGTTTGGAGGCAAAAATGGAAACATTTAGGGAAACATACAACATAAATAGAGTGCTGTTGAATGAATGACTAGCAGGATAGTTGAGACAAAGCCCCCTTTCACATAATTCTAACAACGTTACAATGTTACTGGAGGAATTCAACCCCATGTTTAGGAAGAGGTTAATATTTGATAAATTTTCTACACATCTCTCCATCTCTCTGTGAAAATATTTTATTTTACTTGAGATGATAATATAAACAGTTATTTTCAGGAGGTACAAAATATATTAATTGTATAATTTTTTTGGTAGTAACTTAAGGTGAAACTTGCTCAATAGGGGAAAAGTAGCTGTCATAGGAGCCTAAATAGTGGAGTAGGCTTCTGCTGCCATAAGCCACCAAGATTTATAAAGAGAAGAAATAGTCATGGCATCTGTTTGCTCAACTAACAACATTAAATTTCTATGTGCAATATTGGTAATGATGCATCTAAACCTTATGTAGTAAATAATTTATGAATCTTTTAGGGTGTCAGAGTTTTTTGGCTTTAGTCTAGGTAGAAAGGTCATCGAGTAAGTAGACAGCCTATACGTTTAATGAATATTTGTATTTGCGATGGCTCACGCTTGTGATCCCAGCACTTTGGGAGGCCGAGATGAGTGAATCAGGAGGTCAGGAGTTTGAGACCAGCCTGGTCAATATGGTTAAACCCTGTTTCTACTAAAAATACAAAAAATTACCTGGGTGTGGTGGTGCGTGTCTGCAGTGCCAGCTACTTGGGAGGCTGAGGCAGAAGAAACTCTTGAAACTGGGAGGCAGAGGTTGCAGTGAGCCGAGATCACGCCATTGCACTCCAGCCTGGGCAACAGAGTGATACTCCGCCTCAAAAAAAAAAAAAAAAAAAAAAAAAAAAGCAAAGGGTGTCGCCTGTAATCCCAGCACTTTGGGAGGCCGAGGCAGGCGGATCACTTGAGGCCAGGAGTTCGAAACCAGCCTGGCCAACATGGCAAAACCTCGTGTCTACTAAAAATACAAAAAATTAGCTGCGCGTGGTGGTGGACGCCTGTAATCCCAGCTACTTGGGAGGCCGAGACAGAAGAATCGCTTGAACCCGGGAGGCGGAGGTTGCAGTGAGCCGAGATCACACCGTTGCACTCCAGCCTGGGCGACAGAGACTCCGTTTCAAAACAAAAACAAAAACAAACAAAAACAAAAATTAGCCGGCGGGCACCTGTAATCCCAGCTACTCGGGAGGCTGAGGAAGGAGAATCGCTTGATCCCGGGAGGCAGAGGTTGCAGTGAGCTGAGATTACGCCACTGTACTGCAGCCTGGGCGACAGAGGCTCTGGCTTAAAAAAAAAAAAAAGGGAAAGGATGTTACAGAAACTCCAGATACTACTCCCCTTCAGTGGTCTGAGTTGCGCGGCGCTTTCCCGCCTGTCCGGTAGGGGGCGCCGCGCAGAAAGCCGCAGTCCCTCTGCGGAAGGCGCCGCTCTTGGCTTCGGCGGCGCCGCTGTAGCTTGGAGGCGGTACTTCCTCCAGCATTTGCCGCGAGTTATTGGCAAGTTCCCCTGCAGTTTGGGCTGTCTCTGTGGCTGGTTCTGCGGCGTGCGGCCAGCCATGGAGCGCTCTGGGCCCAGCGAAGGTGGGTTTCATGAAGCGAGTCCTGGCGGGGTGGGCCGTGTCGGGGGAGCTGGGGCGCCGCACTAACTAGGCCGCCTCTCTTTTCTTGCTCCAGTGACAGGCTCAGACGCATCGGGACCGGACCCGCAGCTTGCGGTCACCATGGGCTTCACGGGGTTCGGTGAGTGACTGCCCCAGGCAGAGACCCTCTTCCTTTTGCAGAGGTTTGAAGAGCCGCAGAGTGGGAGGGGAGATCGAGCTGTCAACTCGGAATTACTGTAGCTCGGGTGCATACCTTGCAGTTTGTCAATATTCTTCTCCCATTTGTCTTCTATTCTGCGTATCCGTTGGAACCAACTCAGGTGACAGTTATGAGAGTCCTGGAGAGAAAGGAAGAGAAAGGATTTTTCTAATTTTAAGTCACCAATAATGCTAAAATGAACATTTTTGTAAATAACAGCATTTGTACGAGGATTTTTAAAAATATGTAATTCTGTAGGGTAGATTTCTAAAAGAGAGCCTAGTTTATTCAGAAGTATAAATACTTAAAAAGCTGAAAAATTGGGTATGTGCCTTTTAAAGCTTCTTGATGCTTACTGCCGTAATACCCATCAAAAAACTTGTTTCAGGTTATACCAAAGTTAACAGAATTTAAGAATGCCATTTTTACCATATCCGTACCAACACAGAGTAGGTATTATTATTTAAAAAGAAAATTATTTTAAAAATGAAAACAAAACTTTAGTAGACTGATACATGAAAAATGATTTCTTTTTATTTTGCATTTTAAAATTATAAATGCTGTTCATCCAAACATTGGGATTCTAACTTCCTTGAACCTTTTCTCAAGGTCTTCTTGTTCTCTTTTGACCAGCGTGTATTAATTCTATGATAGTAATTAAACAGTAGACTTACACATATTGGCCTTGGGTTCTGTTCACACATACTAGTTCTGTAGTTTTTCTATTCATTTTTTTTTTTTGGGAGACGGAGTCTCGCTCAGTCGCCCAGGCTGGAGTGCAGTGGCAAGATCTCGGCTCACTGCGAGCTCTGCCTCCTGGATTCACGCGATTTTCCCGCCTCAGCCTCCCGAGTAGCTGGGACTACAGGCGCCCGCCACCTCGCCTGGCTAATTTTTTTTGTATTTTTAGTAGAGATGGGGTTTCACCGTGTTAGCCAGGATGATCTCGATCTCCTGACCTCGTGATCCGCCTGTCTCGGCCTCCGAAAGTGCTGGGATTACAGGCGTGAGTCACCGCGCCCAGCCTTTTCTATTTTTTTATTTTTTGAGATGGAGGCTCGCTCTGTCACCCAGGCTGGAGTGTACTAGTGCGATCTTGGCTCACTGCAGCCTCCTCCTCCCAGGCTTAAGCCATCCTCCCACCTTAGTCTCCTGAGTAGCTGGGACCACAGATATGTGCCACCACACCTGGCTAATTTTTTATACTTTTGGTAGAGACGAGGTTTCACCATGTTGCCCAGGCTGATCGATCTCCTGAGCTCAAGCAATCCGCCCACCTGAGCCTCTCAAAGTGATTACAGGCATGAGCCACCCCACCCGGTATAAATCCTTCATTTTAGTACATCATTCCTTTACTCAGGAGTGAGAAAGGTGTCCATATGTTTGTGCCAAATAGGGGAAAATTTTAAGAGTTTTGATAAAGTTACTGGGGGAGGAGGAGAATGTTTCCATGCTCAACAGTTCCTTGTTATAGGGCTGAGATTTCTGTTTCCCTCTTAGCTCCTTAAAGTACCTGCATTACTTCTCATGTTGCCCCTTTCGTCTTCAAGCCAACTATAACGCCTCAAATTCTTCTCAAACGTTGGATCTCTCTGACTTCTTCCGCCATAGCTGTTGTGCATCTTTGCCTTTAAGGGCCAGCTAGGATAGTTTCCCTATTTAAAAGTCCATAACCTTAATTACATTTGCAAAGGGTAACTTTTGGGACATTCTCCATTCTGCCTCCCACATTAGTGTTGTTGTTTCATAGGGTAGGGATCTAGAGGAGGATGGGAAAGTTGCCTGGTTAATAGTACTTAGTGAAGGGATTGTCATCAGAAGTTTTCTGTGACTCAAACTCCTTCTCTGATATTTTATGGTTATATTGGAGCCATGCTATAAACTAGACAAAGTAAGTGTTTATTGATCAGTATTGATCGCCTAAAGTTTGGCCAGCTTACTGCAAGACAATCACAGTCTCCCATTTGTTCATCTTTTAGGTAAAAAAGCTCGCACATTTGACTTGGAAGCAATGTTTGAACAAACTCGAAGAACAGCTGTGGAAAGAAGTTGCAAAACACTGGGTAAGAAGTTCAGATATTTGTCGTTTTATTGGTTTAAGTACTATGTATACCTCATGTAAGTATATTAAAAAAGAGAAAAGAATGTTGGCTGGGCGCCGTGGCTCACGCCTGTAATCCCAGCACTTAGGGAGGCCAAGGCAGGCAGATCACCTGAGGTCAGAAGTTTGAGACCAGCCTGGCCAACATGGTGAAACCCCATCTCAACTAAAAATACAATAATTAGTTGGGCATGGTACAGGGGCCTGTAATCCCAGCTAGTCGTGCGGCTGAGGCAGTAGCTTCGGTTGAAGTCGGGAGGCGGAGGTTGCAGTGAGCTGATATCCCCCCATTGCACTCCAGCCTGGGGGACAAGAGTGAAATTCCATCTCAGAGAACAAAGAAAAAAAAGAATGTTGTTATGCTACTTGTCACTGTTGGTTTTTTTTTTTTTTTTGAGATGGAGTCTCGCCCTGTTGCCCAGGCTGGAGTGCAATGGCATGATCTCGGCTCACTGCAGCCTCCACCTCCCCAGTTGAAGCGATTCTCCTGCCTCTGCCTCCCGAATAGCTGGGACTACAGGCACATGCCACCATGCCCGGCTAATTTTTTGTATTTTTAGTAGAGATGGGGTTTCACTGTGTTGGCCAGGCTGGTTTTGAACTCCTGACCTTGTGATCTGCCTACCTTGGACTCCCAAAGTGCTGGGATTACAAACGTGAACCACCGTGCCCTGCTTTTTGTTTTTTGGGTTTTTTTTTTTTTTTTTTTGAGATGGAGTCTCGCTTTATTGCTGGGCTGGAGTGCAGGGGTGCGATCTTAGCTCACTGCAACTTCTACCTCCCCGATTCAAGCAATTTTCCTGCCTCAGCCCCCCAAGTAGCTGGGACGACAGGTGTATGCCACCACGCCCAGCTAATTTTTGTATTTTTAGTAGAGATGGGGTTTCACCATGTTGGCCAGGATGGTCTTGATCTCTTGATCTTGTGATCTGCCTGCCTCCTAAAGTGCTGGGATTACAGGTGTGAGCCACCGCACCCAGCCCAATTTATCATTTTAAAACCAACAATGGGCCAGTTGTAGTGGCTCATGCCTGTAATCCCAGCATTTTGGGAGGCTGAGGTGGGTGAATCACCTAAGGTCAGGAGTTCGAGACCAGCCTGGCCAACATGGTGAAACCACGTCTTGACTGAAAATAGAAAAACTATCCGGGTGTGATGGTGGGCACCTGTAATCCCAGCTACTAGGGAGGCTGAGGCAGGAGAATCGCTTGTACCTGGGAGGCAGAGGTTGTGGTGAGCTGAGATTGCACCATTGCACTCCAGCCTGGGCGTCAAGAGCAAAACTCCATCTCAAAATAAATAAAATAAAATAAAATAAAATGGGCGACAAGGGCAAAACTCCATCTTAAAATAAAATAAGATAAAATAAAATATAAAGTATAAAACAAAATAACTGAAATAAAAAATAAAATGTTGTACAGCAGCAATATCCAGTATTTGGCAGTGTACCTGACAAAAAATATTTTCAGTCTTTGGAAGAAAACTTTTTTGTGGTGAATAGAAAGCCATCTACATGTACTATTTTTTGAAAAAACCCTTCATTATTTGTTTTATTTGAGACGGAGGCCTGCTCTGTCACCCAGGCTGGAGTGCAATGGCGCGATCTCAGCTCACTGTGACCTCCGCCCCTTGGGTTCAAGTGATTCTCTTGCCTCAGCCTCCTGAGTAGCTGGGATTACAGGTGACCACCACCACGCCTGGCTAAATTTTTTGTATTTTTAGTGGAGACGGGGTTTCGCCATGTTGGCCAGGCTGGTTTCGAACTTGTGAGCTCAGGTGATCCGCCTGCCTCGGCCTCCCAAAGTGCTAGGATTACAGGTGTGAACCAGTACTTTATTTCTGACACCAGATATGTAGGAGTTTTCCCCCACACATCAACCAGTTCTCCAACTGGGTATCCGGTAACTCACCTTAATTCTGACACCGTCTGCCTGGAGACTACCACAAGACTGCCTTCACTCAGACACTAATCTCAATTCACAGGTTGTGACCAGTGCTTCTAATCTACTGGCTATAAATCAGGGTTCCCATGACCACTCTTTTTGCTTTGATAATTAGCTAGGTCGGCTCACAGGGAAACACTTTACTTATGTTTAACAGTTTATTATAAAGAATATTATAAATGATACAGATGAACAGCCAGATGAAGTAATGCATTGGGCAAGGTATGCGGTGGGAGAGGTGCAGAGCTTCTGTGCCCTCTCTGGGTGCACCAACTCCCCAGCATCCCCCTGTGTTCAACTACCCTGAAGCTAATCACATCTAGTGGTTCAGGAGTGTCTAGGCTGGGTGCAGTGGCTCACACCTATAATCCCAGCAATTTGGGGGACCAAGGTAGGAGGATCACTTGAGCCCAGGAGTTTGAGACAAACCTGGGCTAACACAGTGAGATCCCATTCAAAAAATCTTATAAAAATTAGCTGGGCATGGCGGTGCACACCTGTAGTCCCAACTACTTGGGAGGCTGAGATGAGAGGGTCACTTGAGCCCAGAGGTTGAGGCTGCAGTGAGCTATGATCATGCCACTGCATCACAGCCTGAGTAAAAAAGCAAGAGCCTGTCTCAAAAAAAAAAAAAAAAAATTTCTATAGATCTTAATTTCCAGCTTCCCCAGAGATTGGTGGGTGGGGATGAAAGTTCCAATTATCTAACCTGTCAGTTTTTTTAGTGAGCAGCAGTCCCATCCTGAGGCCTAGGGATCCCACACTAAGTCACTTCAATAGCATAAACTTAGGTGGGATCCAAAGGGGCTTCTAATGAATAACAAAAGACAGCTCCTATCACTCAGGAAATTCCAAGTATTTCAGAAGCTCTGTGGCAGGAACCTGAAACAAAGACCAAATATATATATATTTTTTTGAGACAGAGTCTCACTCTGTCGCCCAGACTGGAGTGCAGTGGTGTGATCTCGATTCACTGCAAGCTCTGCCTCCCGGGTGCACGCCATTCTCCTGTCTCAGCCTCCTGAGTAGCTGGGACTATAGGCACCGGGCACCATGCCTGGCTAATTTTTTTTTTTTTTTTTTTTTGTATTTTTAGTAGAGACAGGGTTTCACCCTGTTAGCCAGGATGGTCTCGATCTCCTGCCCTCATGATCCGCCCCCCTCAGCCTCCCAAAGTGCTAGGATTACAGGAGTGAGCCACCGCACCTGGCCAAATATATTTCATATTATACCACAGTATCATCACATCAAGAAACAATTTTAATATCCTCAAACAGTAGACAAAGACATGCTATCTGAGGCATTTACAAATGTTTTAAACAATTTAGTGAATGTTTGTACTATCACAGTATAGGTACCTTGTATTTACCATTTTAAGCATATAATACAACATGTTTTGAACAAGGATTGTCTTATTTGGCTATGTCAGCTTTTTGTTGTTATTTACTTATTTATTTTTTTGAGTTGCCCAGGCTGGAGGGCAATGGTGCAATCTAGGCTCACTGCAACCTCTGCCTCCTGGTTCAAGCAATTCTCCTGCCTCAGCCTCCCCAGTAGCTGGGATTATAGGTATGTGCCACCATCACCTGACTAACTTTTGTATTTTTTGTAGAGACAGGGTTTCACCATGTTGGCCAGGCTGATCTCAAACTCTTGAAGTCAAGTGATCCGCCTGCCTCAACCTCCCAAAGTGAAGCTTTTTATTTTTAATTTTTTTATTTTCAATTTTTGTGGGTACATAGTAGATGTATATATTTGTGGGTATGTAAGTTTTATAGCCCCTAGTACTTTACTTTGTAAAATAGGTTCTCAGAAATATTTTGAGAATATTAAATTGAATTTAGACCTGTAATACTGTCTTGTTAAAAAATGAAATCTTGCTGCTTTGGAGAATGTTTTAAAATGGCACAATCTGGGCTGGGCACGGTGGCTCACGCCTGTAATCCCAGCACTTTGGGAGCCTGAGGTTGGTGGGTCACCTGAGATCAGGAGTTTGAGATCAGCCTGGCCAACGTGATGAAACCCTGTCTCTACTAAAGATACAAAAATTAACCCGGTGTGGGTGGCGGGCACCTGTAGTCCCAGTTACTCGGGAGGCTGAGGCAGGAGAATCGCTTGAACCTGGGAGGCGGAGGTTGCAGTGAGCCTAGATCGTGCCATTGCACTCCAGCCTGGGCGACGAGAGCAAAACTCTGTCTAAAAAAAAAAAAATGGGCACAATCTGTTGGAAAGAGCTTGGGATTTGGAATTGGGGGACCTAGGTTTAAGGCCCAGCCCCACAGTCTACTAGATGAGGAACATTGGATGGGTTTTCCAATTTCTGATCCTTCATAACCCTGTTGTGTGTGTATCATCTACCTTGGACGTTTCTTGAAGAGATTAAGATTTTGGGTGTAGTAGCTTATAAACAGCAAAGTACTTTATAAATATTATTTTAAATTCTTGCAATTTTTCTTAGTAAAGCATGTATACATTTTACCTAAGAGGAACTTAGGGAGTTATTAAATTTTTAAATTATTGAAAAATTGTCTCAAGACTATGATCTCCTTTGATTTTTGTGGACAAATTATTGAACTTTCTTGATTTACTATTACATCTTTGGACTGCAGTTTCTACCTCTGATCTAAACACATGAATCTAAATTGATTATCTCTTTGAAAGATCTACTTAGCTTTAGCATGTAAATAGAAAATAACATTGGAATAATTTATGGAAGTAGTATTCATCATTATATGGGAAGTTACTCATAAGAGATTTTTTTTTTTTTTTAGTGTTCTTCCAGACTTGGCAATTAGATTACATTTAGACTGTGGAATTAAAAGTGATTCCCTGTGAGCTCTCCTAGCAAATTATGAAATTGAAGAGAGAGAGAACGGGTTGCGGGAACCCTAGTTTCCTACCGTGAGACAGTTTGACTTACTTTTCTTTAAAAGTTGAAAATTCTCATATGGGCATTATTTATCTCATGCTTGGTATTGGAGTCTTTCCCTGGGTATTCATAGTACACTTGAGGAAACTAAGACTTTGACCCTTTTAATAGCAAGTTTGTCTGTATGTGGGGGTATGAGCTGTCTTGGTTGCTAAGTGCACTAGTGGAAAGGATGAATTACTATAAAACCCCGATAAAATATGTGCTGTGAAGGGTCTGGAAATGATAATGGTACAAATTTTTTTTAATGTTTTTTATGTTCTTGAAAGCTATAAGTATGTGTAGGACATATGAAATACAGATTTTTTTTCTCTTTCTTGAGACAGAGTCTCTCTCTGTCGCCTAGGCTAGAGTGCAGTGGGACGATCTCAGCTCACTGCAACCTCCGCCTCCCAGGTTCAAGGAATTCTTCCTCAGCCCCCTGAGTAGCTGGGATTACAGGCGTGCACCACCATGCCCGGATAATTTGTTGTATTTCTAGTAGAGACGGGGTTTCACCATGCTGGCCAGGCCGGTCTCGAACTCCTGACCTCGTGATCTGCCTGCCGCAGCCTCCCAAAGTGTTGGGATTACAGGCGTGAGCCACCGCGCCCAGCTGAAATACAGACTTTTTTTTTTTTTAGAAGTGTTATACTAGGCTGGGGACAGTGGCTCATGTCTGTAATCCTAGTACACTTTGTGAGGCTGAGGCAGGTGGATTGCTTGAGGCCAGGAGTTGGAGACCAGCCTGGCCAACATGGTGAAACCCCATCTCTACTAAAAATACAAAAATTAGGTGGGCATGGTGACTGGCGTCTATAATCCCAGCTGCTCGGGAGGCTTAGGCAGGAGAATTGCTTGAACCTAGGAGGTGAAGGTTGCAGTGAGCTGAGATTGTGCCACTGCACTGACACCTGGCGACAGAGTGAGACTCTGTCTCAAAACAAAAACAAAAAGCCCAAATGTCCAACAATGATAGACTGGATTAAGAAAATGTGGCACATATACACCATGGAATACTATGCAGCCATAAAAAATGATGAGTTCATGTCCTTTGTAGGGACATGGATGAAATTGGAAACCATCATTCTCAGTAAACTATCGCAAGAACAAAAAACCAAACACCGCATATTCTCACTCATAGGTGGGAATTGAACAATGAGATCACATGGACACAGGAAGGGGAATATCACACTCTGGGGGACTGTGGTGGGGTCGGGGGAGGGGGGAGGGATAGCATTGGGAGATATACCTAATGCTAGATGACACGTTAGTGGGTGCAGCGCACCAGCATGGCACATGTATACATATGTAACTAACCTGCACAATGTGCACATGTACCCTAAAACTTAAAGTATAATTAAAAAAAAAAATTAAAAAAAAAAAAAAAAACCAGAACTCCTCTTCCCCAAGGTGGGTCATAGTAACTAAGAACCGCTCTTTCCCAAAGCCAATCATAAAATCCAGAACTAGTACTCGAACTTTCCCCAGCCTTTCTGTGTAAGCGCTGGCCATAAAGAAAGTCTCTGACCTACCTTATCTGACTGTGGGTCATAAGACCCTCATTCCGGAGGGGTTCTGCCCTATACCCTGGAGGAAGAAATGCAGCACGGAGAGGCCAGGAAGAATCTGGCTGGACAGGCCTTTCTGGGTGTCCCCCTCAGTCTATGACATCAGGTCATTCCCTTTTTGTCCGATACCTTTTTACATGCCTGTCCATTCTTCACTGAACCTGAGCATAAAAATAGACAGTTTTCCCTGGGTCTTTGGGTCTTCTTGTCCAAAGGCTCCTGTGTCACATAAAACTTGGATTAAATAAATCTGTTACTTTTTTCTCTTCTTCAAAAAAAAAAAAAAAAAAGAAAAACTAAGGGAAAAAGAGGGAGGACTGGCATGGTGTGGTGGCTCACATTTGTAAATCTTGAGGCAGGAGGATTGCTTGAGCCCAGGAGTTCAAGACCAGCCTGGGCAACATAGTGAGACCCCGTGTCTATTAAAAAAAATAATAGTAAAAAAGAGGGAAATGGCAGCTGAGTAGGCAGCCTCAATATCTTTTCCTGATTAGTAATATAATTGACTGTAAGACCTGAGGGAGAAGATGAGCCTAGAGTACAAATGCTGCTGCCACCCCCCGAGGTCTGGAGGAATTGGCTGAAAAAACAGGGTGAACTAGGAGCTAAGCAGGCCCATTCTTTTTTTTTTTTTTTTTTTTTTTTTTTTTTTTTTTACCTTCCGGGTTCAAGCGATTCTCCTGCCTCAGTGTCCTGAGTAGCTGGGACTACAGGTGCACACCGCCACACCTGGCTAATTTTTTGTATTTTAGTAGAGACAGGGTTTCACCATATTGCCCAGGCTGCTCTCGAACTCCTGAGCTCATGCAAGCCACCCGCCTCGGCCTCTCAAAGTGCAAGGATTACAGGTGTTAACCATCACGCCTGGCTTCAGGCCCATTATTTTCTTTTTTTTTTTTTTTTTTTTTTTGAGACGGAGTCTTGCTCTGTTGCCCAGGCTGGAGTGCAGTGGCGCCATCTCCACTCACTGCAGGTTCTGCCTCCCGGGTTCATGCCATTCTCCTGCCTCAGCCTCCAGAGTAAGCTGGGACTACAGGCACCTGCCACCACGCCCGGCTAATTTGTGCATTTTTAGTAGAGATGGGGTTTCACCATGTTGCCCAGGCTGGCCTCGAACTCCTGACCTCGTGATCCACCTGCCTCGGCCTCCCAAAGTGCTGGAATTACAGGCATAAGCCACCATGCCTGGCCTTGAAACCATCTTTCAAAATGTGGTCTTTTTGCAGTACAGCTGGAATGTCTCTGCCTTTCCCACCATGCACCTTTGTAAAGGGGCGGCTTCTGTCTCGCTGGTGTAACAGATTTCTTCCCTGTGTCCCCTTTCTCTTCTGTCAATGAATCATGGGTGGCTGTCAGCTGGGGACCACTCTCAGTGTCTCATGCACTGAATGCAACATGGACACAAACTTACGATAGGGCCAGGTGGGGGACAGCAAGAGGTGAGCACCGGAAATTGCATGAGGTAGGAGTCACTGGCTGGTAGTGGGTGAGGGACACGTGGTAGGGACAGTTCAGCAGCTGGATCAGGGTGGAAATCCAAATCCTGACAGCTGAGAAGTGGCACAGACCTGCTTCTGTGGGGACAAGTGTCCACTGGCCCTGGCCAACTGGCCTCCAGGGGGCATTGTTGGAACATGCGATCATCCCAAAGCATTTCAGCTTGAAGAAGATCTAGGACACAGTTTGTTGTTACCACCTCAGAGCATTTAGATGGGATGTGATGGATGGAATTGAAGTTAAAAACCCATTCACCATTTCTAGGTAGTACAGTAGGCTCCTAATTTACAGAAATGCTTGTGAAATTGGGAATCATGATAAAATCCTCATACCTCCTCCTCTTTTAACCAAATCTTTCTAAAATGCACAATTATAATTTCTTACCTTTAGGAAAAAGTAATTATGTTATATGTGTTATATACACTATGTAAATATAGTTCATTAAATCATTCTTTGGCGTTTGAAGACTTTCTAATTCATTACTTCATTCCAGACATCAATGACAACAGCACATACCGAGCAGGTACACATATGAGCTACCTACTAATATGCCCTGATTTTGATTGTATTTTGTGAAAACCTTGGTATGGGTTATTTTTAAATGAATGTTTTCCCAAATTTTAAGCTGAAACTAGGATGCGTCAAAATTATCTTGGTCATAATCTTGTCAATGATGTCGTCTAAAGGCCACCAGGAACACACCTGTAGCCCAGCAAAGTTGAGGCCATCAACTGGCTCATCACAACAAGGAAGGCTGTGCACCACTGGGACCCAGCAGCAGCTCAGCAGCAGCAGTGAAAGGGCCTTGGGAAAGACTCGGAGGGTTTGGCTTATACAAGGTGATCTTAGGGAGGGTCAAGGAAACAGGCTGTGATGGTTAATATTGAGTGTCAACTTGATTGGATTGAAGGATGCAAAGGATTGTTACTGGGTGTATATGTGAGAGTGTGGCCAAAGGAGATTAACATTTTAATCAGTGGACTGGGAGAGGCACACCCACCCTCAATCTGGGTGGGCATCATCTAATCAGCTGCCACAGCAGCTAAAATAAAGCAGGCAGAAGTTGGAATGAGCAGACTTGCTGAGTGTTCCAGCCTTCATCTTTCTCCCATGCTGGATGCTTCCTGCCCTCGAATGTCAGACTCCAAGTTCTTCAGCTTTTTTTTTTTTTTTTTTTTTTTTTGGACTCTTGGACTTACACCATTGGTTTGCCAGGGGCTCCCAGGCCTCTAGCCGCAGACTGAAGGCTGCACTGTGAGCCTCCCTACCTTTGAAGTTTGGGACTCAGACTGGCTTCTTGGCTCCTCAGCTTGCAGTCGGCCTATTGTGAGACTTCCCCTTGTGATCATGTGAGCCAATTCTCCTGATAAACTCACCTTCATATATACATCTATCCTATTAGTTCTGTCCGTTTAGAGAACCCTGACTGATACACAGGCCATGCTCAGATGGAGTGCTGTCTGGAAATGGGAGTAATTCTGTGGTTGAATGTCTTAATTGTCCTGGAAGGTGGGAGAAATGGAATGAGGCTGGTGCTACAATTGATGTAAAAGCAGCAGCTGCTCACATAAGCCGGGGTGGGGGCTGCCTAGGCGTATTTGTGGTATTGACCACGTTCTTGTTTTTGTTTGTGACCAGGCCAGATTACAGAGGGGTATTGATTTGCCTTGCCCCCGCCCCCACCATCACAGTGTGTCCCTGTCCAGTGTTGGTGCTGTGTGGCATTGGCTTGTGTCCATAGGAGTCCATCAAGGCAGAGCGGCAGAGTGGGAAGGCAGGTCAGCTTCCAGCTCTTCCAGGCTGCATGTCCCACTCAATATCCTGTAAGTTCTGATCTGGCAGATACTGAATACTCAAGGGTTCACATTCTCTTAGCCTAGAGGTGGCTGCAATAATGAAAGGCATTTGGCTGATGTGTTTTCAAAGGAGAGGGAAGCTGTCTGTGTTTGTTACCTGCGGCTGCATAACAAATGACCACAGCCTAGTGACTCGAAACATCACACACCAGTTACCTCCGCTCTCAGTAGGTCAGAAGTTCAGGCATAGACCAGCTGTGGCCTCCACTCTGAGTCTCAGCAGGCTACAATCAGGGCTCAATCAGGGCTGTGGTCCTGTCAGAGGCTCTCTCAGGTTGTTGGTGGTTGTAGGACTGAAGTTCCTGTTTTTGGGGGGTAGTCAGCTGGTGTATTAGTCTATTTTCACACTAGTGATCAAGACATACCTGAGACTGGGTACTTTATTTAAAAAAAAAAAAGAGATTTAATGGACTCACAGTTCCATGTGGCTGGGGAGGCCTCACCATCATGGTGGAAGGCAAAAGGCCCACCTTACATGGCAGCAGGCAAGAGAGAATGAGAGCCAAGCAAAAGGGGTTTCCCCTTATAAAACCATCAGATCTCATGAGACTTATTCACTACCATGAGAACAGTATGGGGGAAACTGCCCCCGTGAATCAATTATCTTCCACCAGTTCCCACAACATGTGGGAAATATGGGAGCTACAATTCAAGATGAGATTTGGGTGGAGACACAGCCAAACCTATCAGCGGGGGACCACTCTCAGCATCCAGGGGCTGCCATGGTTCCTGCCACATGGCCTCTCACAGTCCTTCCTATAGGACGGACGGCAGCCCTTCTTACACAAGTCAGCAAGAGGGAGTCTCTCTTGCCCCCACTTGCTAAGGCAGAATCTCACATCAGATGTAACCATCACATTTGCTGTATTCTATTATCTAGAATTATGTCACAAGCCCCTTTATGCTCAGGGGAGTGGATTATCCAAAACATAGATCACCGGGGAGGGGTGACCTTAGGGTGTGTTGGCCACATCACCTAAGAGTACATGAAACATCTCTCTCATTTCTTCCATTTCTTGAGCTTTTAAAAAATTACTAAACGAATAAACATAGACAATTTAGGTTGCATGAATGAATACAAAGAACATATTATCATTCCTAATTATCACAATTTCTACCACAAACATGATCACTTGTAACACTTGCATGCATGTACTGGACCAGTTTTTATAAACCATCCCAGCTATGGTCTGCTGCTCAATGGGACTGATGACTCTTCAGACGTATGGTCTGGGATCAACCACATTCTTGCAGGCCACCAAGAGGAGGCATCCATCTCCACAGAAGAGAGACGAGCTCTGGGCTCCTTCTGCACCTTCACAGTGAAGGCTCAACGGGGCACATGGATCCCTGTGTTGCCCTAGATATGACATTTTTACATTTTTGACTTTTCACCCTGTAGTGGGGGTTAAGGGCAGAGCTACAGGCATCTGGTAGGTATAGCCTAGGGACGTTGCTAAATACTCTTCCACAGGGAGGACAGTCTCTGACCACAAAGAATTGTCCAGCCTAAAACATCAATAGTGCCAGGGTTAAGAACACTGGCTCCAACCTTGCACAAGTCTGTGAAGTTCAAGACATTGTGGAGGTTTTTCTTGTTTTGTTTTGTTTTTTTTTTTTTTTTTTTTTTTTGCTGTTTACAAAGGTGTCCTTTTCTCTCCCCATGATACTTCACAGTTCAACCCAATGGAAATGGATTGAAAGAGTGAAAGTCACTGGTCTCAAAGAATCTACGGAATTTAGCATTTTGAAAATCACATAGCAATTTTGGGTAGGTATTCACCTGCACTAAAAAACCAGGCAAACATCCGACTCCCAGGATAAAGTGACTGAGAGCAGTAGAAGACTTGTTGAGCCTTAAGGAATAAGAGGAAAATTACGTTATGAAGTGCAGGAACAGCACAGACCCAGACGAGGGGACGCAGCCCGGAGCCAGTAACCCGGCGCCACCTCCTCCCCAGGGCGCAGCGCTGGCTGATCCCCAGATACCGTGATCACACGTCCCGGGTCCTGAGAGCGCCTCATAGGTAGACAGTTCTTTGGGACTTCTGGGATGCAGCACTTGAAGAGAGGTTTACCTAAACTTTCCTCCTGGGAGCCTGTGATCATTTGAAAGTAACAGAAGAAAGTTGTCAGGCTGAGGAAAGTTTCAACAGGCACTTGGTGAGAATGGGAAGCATCCATTCATTGTGAAATCGCGGGGACAGAGGAGGAATTCACGGGATCAGAGCACTGAGAAACTCCAGAGGCTTCTGGTTCACCGCCCTGATTCCACAGATGTGGGTCAGAGGCAGAGATGGAAGTTGGAATGGACAAGCCTGCCCTCTCCTTGGCTCTCCATGGCTCTGTCCTCAGGCTGTTTCTGCAATTTGACATGAGGCCTGGCCCCAGGGAAACCAGTGGGGCCTCATCTCCTCCCTGTGCTGCTCTGAGGTGGAGCCTTCTCAGGGTCAGTCCAGCTCTGGAGCCCCTCTCCAGCTCGGTCACCAAAGCTGTCTGGTCCCAGGGCGGTGCTGAGTGACAGGCATGCCAGCCAATCCAATCGGCAATTTCATATCCAATGCATGTGACTGATAAAGAGATAACGCCCTGTCTCCAAGACACAGGCTTTACATAAACAGCTTTAATGACTTCTTCACTTAGAGACAAGACTCCTTAGTGGTGGAACCTCAGGCATCCGTGCAGGACGTAAGAAAGCTGCCGTATATACATGAACTGAGAAGTGTGTAGAAGAATAAATACTGTAATAGGTAATAAAATGTATGTATTTTTATTTATGTGCTACTTTGTCTTTCTCCCTCTCTGTGTATATACACATACATACAAAAATGTATTCATTCTATGGAAAACATGAAAGATGTAATATTCTTTACATATGAAATTTTAATTAATGTATTTTTTCTGATCATATGAACACCACAAATATAATTTTATAATTTTTTTACCTAACAATAACTCTTAAACATGAATATACATGGACAATATCATAGTTTTTTTTTTAATCATAATTAAAATGGTTGTGAAACATTCCACTTTAATTTATTCCTCCTAATCCCTAGAGTGGTACGTTAAGTGAGGGTTTCTCAGCCTCGGTACCATGGGCAGTTTGGGTTAGCCCATCCTTTTCAGAGACACTGCCCTGGACACTGCAGGATGTGGCTTCACATTCTGGTCTCTGCCCACTGGATGCCAGAAACATCCCTTCCCCTTAGCTGTGGTAATCAACACTGTCACTAGACATTGCCAAATGTCCCCTGGAGGACAAAATCACCCTAGGTTGAGAACCAATGGCATTTTTTTTTAAACTATCATTGTAAGACAAAGCCACCTGAACTTCCTTGCTGATGTCTCTTCACTTCTTTTTTTTTTTTTTTTTTTTTTTTTTTTTTGAGACAGAGTCTTGCTCTGTCGCCCAGGCTGGAGTGCAGTGGCATGATCTCGGCTCACTGCAAGCTCCGCCTCCCAGGTTCACACCATTCTCCTGCCTCAGCCTCCTGAGTAGCTGGGATTACAGGCGCCCGCCACCACACCTGGCTAATTTTTTTTGTGTTTTTAGTAGAGACGGGGTTTCACCATGTTAGCCAGGATAGTCTCGATCTCCTGACCTCATGATCCGCCCACCTTGGCCTCCCAAAGTGCTGGGATTACAGGCATGAGCCACCACTCCTGGCCTCAACTTCTATCTAATTCTATTCAGAGGGAAAATTTCTAGAAGCGACATTCCTGTTGCAGAGAAGAGATATTCACTTGAGAACCTTGATATATATTTGCCAAATTTCTGTCCAAGTATCATTTTTAAAAAGTTAAAAATATGACTTTCATAGAAACACATACAGAGCATATGTCAAAGATGTATTTCTCTAATGCAATGAGACAGCCAGCAAGACAGTGAGGCTGCAGCAGCATGGGGACAGAGTGCAGAAAGAGGTCGCAGAAGCCTTGGAAGAAGGTCATTCAGTCATACAAGGACACCCTGATGCTTGCGCTGCGGTCCTTTCCAAGTCCACGGGGCATTGTTCCTTTGTGTCAACACCAGATAAGATTCATGGGCATTGCTGTCAGTGTTGTGTGTGTTATAATACCAGGGACCCTCACATGGCTGTGTTAGATTCTAACCAATAGACAATAATAAGTCAAAGCAAAGACCGTTACTGATTCCTTCCATTGTTTCTTTAGAGACTTTGGTTTAGCGCTCTGAACTTTCTGATTATCAGATCTTATGTGTTTGCTAATATATAAAATAACAAATTAGACATAATGCCCTATAATTTTCTCAGTTTGATTAATTGCCTGAAATTTGATGTGTCAGTCAGTGTTTGATTAGAATAGAGAAATCACATGTAATTTGAACAAGGAAAGATTAATACGAAGAATTGCTAGCTATAACAGGGTTTTGGAGCAATAAGGATTGGCTAGTAAAAAGTAAAGAGAACTCTAAGGAATATAAGAATAACAGATAAAAGGAGCATCAACCCCTGGGGTTGAGATACAACGTCCAGGGCCTCTGGGATTAAGATCCAGACTCTGTTTGAGGGGGCATGGCTGTCGCTCACTGAATGAAGAGAAGTTGCTGTGGTAGAAATCTGTCTCATCAGAATCACTCTGCTATAATACTGCCTTGTGGAGGTACTGGTGGAAGATACTCGGTGCTGCTGACTGCTGTGCACTTCAGGGGCCTGACAATGGAGCAAACTGCATGGGTTCTGGATCTGGACACTGGAGAAGCTGTGTTGCAGTACAGAAGCCTGCCAAGAGGAGCACACAAGACTCTTGGAAAGAAGAGGAAAATCTCCTCTTACAATGTCAATCTAACATCATGCCAGCTAGCAAAGGAAAAATGTTTAAAGGGTCCAAGTTCATTTCTGCAGAGCAGACATGAAAGGTTGAATTCGGAGCTGAGAGACAATAAGTGGACAACTGGCACATTTGGTCAAACTTGTAATTTTATATCTTAGATGGACAAATTAAACACAAGTCCATAGGTGTTTTCCTTACAAGCTTACATTTAAATTTGGGATCCTGGTCAGAATTTTGCTGAGGACTTCAATTTTTCCCAGTGTTTCAGGAAGGATACCGTGGGGCCAGAGCCACTTTTCTTTATTGTAAGGTCCTGGGCTGTGGCCCCTTTTGCTTTTCTGGGCTCCTTTCTCATGGGCATCTGTTTTGGGAGCTTCATTTCCTCATCTGCTTTGACACTTTAATCTTGGACATTGTAGTGAAATGCTTCACATTGTCACACATTCTAATCTCAGAGACCACTCCAAATCTTTTAGAATTTTCTTGGCCATTGGAATTAGTACTCTGGAATCAGTACATTAGGAATGGTTTTTTAAAAACTATCAGCTAGAATTTCAATATTTTAGAAGAAATGGTCAGTATAAATTTGGAGAAGCGGTTTCTAGCTAGTAGTAGCTGTGCAGAAAAACAGTTTTATTGATAAGTATCTGATTTGGATTTAGGAACCAGCTAGGATGAAAAATTCAATTGAGGTCTGGCCAGATAGACATAAATTTTATTTTTCCTTTATATTCTGTGTCCAAAAGACAAATTGTCATGAGTTATTTATTTTCTTTTCTGAAGTATCCATTTGTTTCTCAGCTTTGGAATTAGAGGTGTAGAAAATAAACGGGACTCAACAGCCTAAGATTTTGTTTAAAAAGATGTTCTTATTTATTTATATTAAAAAAATTTATAAAAATTTTTTTGCAAGAAACTGTCAGCATTTTCATTTTTGATAGATAAATTTTATATTTGGGATTTTGATTATTAAGTTGTTTCTCCACCAGAATTCCTTATGGATTTTTGTAATAATCTGTATTTAGTGTATTTAATTATTTGCTTTCCATTTATATTTATTTTGGGATTTCTTTTTTAGGAGAATGGCACCTGTGACAGCATACTGTTAATATTACCCTTGTATCGTACTTTACCATGCCATCTCTGAAGAATATTACAGACCATTTTGGAGCATGGTGAATAACAAATTTTTACCTTAAGAGTTCACTTGAATAGTCATTTTTATATTTGTGACTGCAAGTCACTTTTAGGGGCTGTACTTCCTTAGTGCTGGTAGCATTATTATCCAATGGACTTTTATAGCTTTCATTAGGTTTTCTTTTGTTTTTGTTCTTTAAAGAACATTTTACTTATCTTAGTATTTCATTTTTCATCCATATTATGAGGCAGTAAGAGTCTTCTGTTTTTCCAAAGTTGAGACTGCTTTATATTTATTTCATATTGTCTACAGCTGTAGTGTTCAATACATTAGCCACTAGCCACATATGGTTATATAAATACGATAAAATAAAAATTGGCCAGGCGTGGTGGCTCACGCCTGTAATCCCAGCACTTTGGGAGGCCGAGGCGGGCAGATCATGAGGTCAGGAGATCGAGACCATCCTTACTAAGACGGTGAGATCTCATCTCTATTAAAAATACAAAAAATTAGCCAGGCGTGGTGGCGGGCGCCTGCAGTCCCAGCTACTCAGGAGGCTGAGGCAGGAGAATGGCGTGAACCTGGGAGGCAGAGTTTGCAGTGAGCCGAGATGGCGCCACTGCACTCCAGCCTGGGGGACAGAGCGAGACTCCATCTCAAAAAAAAAAAAAAAAAAAAAAAATTAAAAATTAAGTTCTTTAGTTGCACTAGCCATATTTCAAATACTTGATGGATACATGTGACTAGTGGCTAACATAAGGGATAGCACAGATATAAAACATTTCCTCGTCATATAAAGTTCTATTGGATAGTGCTGGTCTGTAGCTTATAGGATGGTATCTTAGTCTGCTTCAGCTGCTAAAACAGAATACCATAAATTAGGTAGCTTAAACAGTAGATATTTTGACCCGGCGTGGTGGCTTATGCCTGTATTCCTAACACTTTGGGAGGCCGAGGCAGGTGGATAACTTGAGCTCAGGAGTTTGAGACTAGCCTGGGCAGCATGGCAAAACCTTGTCTCTACGAAAATTAGCTGGGCATGGTGGTGCACGCCTGTAGTCTGAGCTACTTGGGAGGCTGAGGTGGGAGAATTGCTTGAACCTGGGAGGCGGAGGTTGCAGTGAGCCATGATCGCACCACTGTACTCCAGCCTGGATGACAGAATGAGACTCTGTCTCAAAAAAAAAACAAAAACAAACAAACAAAAAAAACAGATATTTCTCACAGTTGTGGAGACTGGAAGTGCAAGATCAAAGTGTTGGCAAATTACGTTTCTTAAAGAGGGCCTGCTTCCTAGATTGGAAATGGCCATCTTCTCTCAGTATCCTCACATGGTAGGGAGAAAAGCAGCTCTAGTGTCTCTTCTTATAAAGGAAGTAATGCCACCATAGGGGCTCTATTCTCATGACCTCATCTAAACGTAATTCTCTCCTAAAGGCCACGCCTCCCAGTATCCTCACCTTGGGGGTTAGGGCTTTATCATATGAATTTTTTTTTTTTTTTTTTTTTTTTTTTTTGAGACAGAGTCTCGCTCTGTCTGTCACCCAGGCTGGAGTGCAGTGGCACAATCTCGGCTCTCTACAAGCTCCGCCTCCTGGGTTCACGCCATTCTCCTGCGTCAGCCTCCTCAGTAGCTGGGACTAAGGCGCCCGCCACTGCGCCCGGCTAATTTTTTTGTATTTTTAGTAGAGACGGGGTTTTACCATGTTAGCCAGGATGATCTCGATCTCCTGACCTCGTGATCCACCCACCTCGGCCTCCCAAAGTGCTGGGATTACAGGCATGAGCCACCGCGCCTGGCCTATCATATGAATTTTGAGGGAACACAATCATGCAGTCTGTAGCAGATGGTAATAGGCTGATATATTACACTTGTTGATGTAAATCTGATAGGTTTCTTTCTCTCCAAGGACAGCTTTTTAAATATTTAACAGTATCAATAATTTTTCAGTTTCTGTGAGAATTTTATAATTTATAATTTGCAGACTTAATGTATAATCTATTTTGTCCTAACAATTACAAATATATTTTTTATTTCAGATTATATATATTCCTACCAGATGGAGATAATTACAGCTTTAAAAATTTTTATTTTTTCATTTTATTTCACATATTGACATTAAATTTTTATTGACACATAATAATTGTACATATATATGGGGTACAATGTGATGTTTTAATACATGTACTCAATGTGTAATGATCAAATCAGGGTAATTTGCATAATGATTTTTCTGTAGGGAGAAAATTCAAAATCTACTCTTCTGGCTATTTTCAAATATATAATATGTTATTGTTAACTATACTCATCCTACTATGCAATAGGACACCAGAACTTATTCCTGGGTTCTACATCTGTTAAGCCAACCAAAGATTGGAAATATTGGGAAAAAAAATTGCGTCTGTACTGAACATGTACAGACTTTTTTCTTGTCCTTATTCCTTACACAATATAGTACAATAACTATTTGCATGACATTTACATCGGATATTATGAGTGATCTAGAGTTGATATGAAGTATATGGGAGGATGTGCAAAGGTGATGTGCAAATACTATGTCATTTTATATCAGGGACTTGAGTATCCTTTGTTATCCTCAGGAGATCCTGAAACTAGTCCTCCATGGATACTGAGGGCTGACTGTCTAGTCCTATCCTCACGGAACTTTCATTGTAATGAGGGAAGACTGACTATAAACAAAATATATGTAATAGGTGGTGGTAAGTACCGTGGAGAAGTAACAAATGGGGCAAAGTGAGTTATACAGCTCCATCCTTAGAAACCTTGGAGTACTTTTCTTAGTTTATACTCGTGGTGGTTTCCTTTTGTCTCCTTTATTACATGGGACTCTGACATGTGCCCATAGCTAGGGTGGCAGTAGGATCTACCCGAAAAGCGTCCTGCTGATACAGGACCAAAGCATCCTGTTGTTCTCGAGCCTATAAAAAGAGCTAATGGTCTTGCTTCTCTTAACTGTGGCCTCCTACACTGTGTTTTGGATGATTGGTGATGTCTTGGATATTCTGTTTCTTTGGAACTTTGAATATACAACACTTTACTAGGGAATTAGCAATGGAAGCAGAGCAAAGATGTACAGAGGAAACAATGCATAACTCTGATGGAATTGAAGTCATGAGGCAGCAGAGAGCTTAAATTAGAGCTTTAAAAATTTTTATTTTTTAGAGGGAATTTAATTGGGAGTAACAGCAGTAATAGTTAACGGAGCCAGAATGCTTGAGTCATATAATTGCAAAGCAGAGTTGGGAGCAACAGATGCTGAAGAGTAGTTGCTGTAGTTCCTCTTTGGGTCGTAGGAGCAGTTGTCATGTTACTATATAGCTACTGAATGAAGAAGAGTTCTTAGTGAGGCCTGGGTGAACAGCTCTTCTTAGTATTCTGTGTGACCCCATTTGACCTTTTAACAAATCCCTAAGTAAATAAATAGCCCCTAAGGTAAACTAAGTTTTTCTCTGCTATTTTTTTGCTTGAGAGAGCTATAACTGTAGTAGACTTATATTTCTGAACATTTTAGTGCTTGCCAATATTTGGTAATATTTATGTTTCCTATATTTGTAATGAACATTCTTCTTCCGGTACATTTTTTGTTAAATTATTGTTTCATGCATAAAAGTTCACCTTTTATTGTATAAAATTGACTCAGATTAATTTATACACATTGACAATGGGTAAATAGAGCTTTTCAGATTATTAAAAGCTGAAGGATGCCCATGTAAGCAAAAACAAAAAAGAAAAAACCAACAAAAATAAACCCAAACCCCTCAAACAATTTCGAACACAAAACATTCTTCTCACGCCGGCATCCCTGCTTGCAGGTGTGAGGGGGGCAGGAATCAGCGAGGTGTCCTGGGCTGAGTCCCCGGAGTGGGAAGAGGTGGCAGGAAGGGGATCTGAGGAGGAGAACAGGGGTCCTGGTGGTCTGTGCTTCTTCCCAGACACGGGAGCTGTAGAGGAGACCTCTGCAGCAGATGCTAGGGGGGCCACTAGGCCTAGGCAGTCTTGGGACTTGGGTCTGTCCTGCTGTGCATCCATAGTGGGTGCTTTAGAAAGGGGAGGCCCACGCGAAGCCCCCGTTGCAAGTGAGGACAAAGTGTGGGAAGGCCGTGAGGGTCTGCAGTCCGAGATGGCCTTGCCCTCAACGTGCAGTGCACTGTTGATGTGGGGCCTAGAGGCCTGGGATCTGGGGGAGCCACCCCTGGGGGCGAGTGTCTGCCCTGGTGCTGTATCTGCCTTTTGACAGCGGGTGTGACCCGAAGAGACAGCCTGAGGTCCGTCCTCACTCACTGTGTTTGAGGAACTGAGGGCCAGCTGGCAGTGGCATGAGGCTGGCCCCCTCCTCCGCTTTAGTTCCGGGAGGCCTTCCGTAGAACTGTGGGAGCTGGAGCTGGCATTTCCTTGGAGGCAGGATCTGGTCCGGGAGGTCTGGGATCTCTGGTTATATCTCACTTCTGACCTCTGGGCACGTGCTGCAGCTGTGGCTGAGGCCAAGAAATGTGAGGGGCCTCCATTCACTGCATTGAGTAGTGACCCCGACGTGGGGTTCAATGTGGAGGGGGGAGGGGCTGCTGCTGCAGCTGCAGGAGCGGAGGTGCCAGGCCTTGTTCTTCTCATGCTGGCATCCCTGCTTGCAGCTGTGAAGGGGGCAGGAATCAGCGAGGTGACCTGGGCTGAGTCCCGGGAGTGGGAAGAGGTGGCAGGAAGGGGATCTGAGGAGGAGAACAGGGGTCCTGGTGGTCTGTGCTTCTTCCCAGACACGGGAGCTGTAGAGGGGACCTCTGCAGCAGATGCTAGGGGGGCCACTAGGCCCAGGCAGTCTTGGGACTTGGGTCTGTCCTGCTGTGCATCCATAGTGGGTGCTTTAGAAACGGGAGGCCCACGCGAAGCCCCTGTTGCAAGTGAGGACAAAGTGTGGGAAGGCCGTGAGGGTCTGCAGTCCGAGATGGCCTTGTCCTCAACGTGCAGTGCACTGTTGATGTGGGGCCTAGAGGCCTGGGATCTGGGGGAGCCACCCCTGGGGGCGAGTGTCTGCCCTGGTGCTGTGTCTGCCTTCTTTTCACAGCGGTGACCCGTAGAGACAGCCTGAGCTCCGTCCTCACTCACTGTCTTTGAGGAACTGTGGGCCAGCTGGCAGTGGGCTGAGGCTGGCCCCCTCCTCCGCTTTAGTTCCGGGAGGCCTTCCGTAGAGCTGTGGGAGCTGGAGCTGGCATTTCGTTTGAGGCAGGATCTGGTCCGGGTGGTCTGGGATCTCTGGTTATATCTCACTTCTGACCTCTGGGCACGTGCTGCAGCTGTGGCTGAGGCCAAGAAATGTGAGGGGCCTCCATCCACTGCATTGAGTAGTGACCCCGACGTGGGGTTCAATGTGGAGGGGGGAGGGGCTGCTGCGGCAGCTGCAGGGGCCGACCTTGTTCTTCTCATGCCGGCATCCCTGCTTGCAGCTGTGAAGGGGGCAGGAATCATCGAGGTGACCTGGGCTGAGTCCCGGGAGTGGGAAGAGGTGGCAGGAAGGGTATCTGAGGAGGAGAACAGGGGTCCTGGTGGTCTCTGCTTCTTCCCAGACACGGGAGCTGTAGAGGAGACCTCTGCAGCAGATGCTAGGGGGGCCACTAGGCCCAGGCAGTCTTGGGACTTGGGTCTGTCCTGCTGTGCATCCATAGTGGGTGCTTTAGAAAGGGGAGGCCCACCCGAAGCCCCTGTTGCAAGTGAGGACAAAGTGTGGGAAGGCCGTGAGGGTCTGCAGTCCGAGATGGCCTTGTCCTCAACGTGCAGTGCACTGTTGATGCGCTGGAATGCTGCCTGTTTTTCCAGGTGCAGGTCTTCCGCCGTGACCCGGTACCCCAGCTCTAAGGGAGGTGGCAGCATCAAAGGCTCCCCTCGCCTGCTTGGCAGCAGGGGAATCTTGCGTCTACGGGGCCTAGAGGCCTGGGATCTGGGGGAGCCACCCCTTGGGGCGAGTGTCTGCCCTGGTGCTGTATCTGCCGCCTTTTCACACCGTGTGTGACCCGAAGAGACAGCCTGAGGCCTGTCCTCACTCACTGTCTTTGAGTAACTGAGGGTCAGCTGGCAGCGGGATGAGGCTGGTCCCCTCCTCTGCTTTAGCCCCGGCAAGCCTCCCGTGGAGCTGTAGGAGCTGGAGATGGCATTTCGTTTTGTGCTCGAGCTCGTCCAGGATGTCTGGGATGTCTGGTTATATCTGATTTCTGAGCTCTGGGCATCGAGGTCTGTCTGCAGAGGCCCGGGCCTGGGCACAAAGGGAGAGAGGCCTCCATTGTCCCGCAGGGGCCAAAATGCAGACCGTGCATCCCCGGTGACCTCGGGGACCGTTCTCTGATCAGCAGGATTTTCTTGGACTCTGGGGTCCTTGTCCTGCTCAGGCATCCCTGCCCTGCTCTCCTTGAGGGCCCTCAACACTATCTTCCCTGGACACAAGTCTGGGGACAGCCGGGTGTTGAGGACCCCAAAGGGGTGACTACCTGCTCCTGGGCCCCACAGAGTCCTTGTGCTCAGTGTAGTGGCTGAGCTGGGGGATGCCCTGGAATTCGGAGCACACAGCACTGGCTTACTGTGGTACCTGTGCAGTGAAATTGGAGACAGAATCACCAGGATGGAACACAGGTCTTGCAGGATCACGGAAAACCTTCTTAGAGTTGTCTTGACACCACTGATGTTGAGTGTCCGGGTGTTTGTAGGATGGCCTGCCACTCAGTCCAGGGGCAGGAGCAACGGGGAGATCCCACAAGCAAAGTGAACTGGGCGATGGGCTGAAGGGGCTCTAGGCAACTGAGCCCTACTCGCAGGTCCTCGGCCTTGGCCCAAACAGGAATGAGGGGCACAGAGTGCCCGGGTAACCGCTCCTGGGAGCAGTGGGGAACTGTCGGATACTTGAACTCTCGAGAGCTGGGCTCTGAGCGTCCTCGTCCAGCTGCCAACTTGGCCAAAGGCTAAGCCAGCAGATTGTTCTGTTGCCGGGCGACGCGACTTCTAAACCTGAGGGAGTGGGCATGTGAGCACATAATGGCACCAGTGACAGAGCGACCATAATGGATTAATAAGCGCAGCCAGGTACCCGCGCAAGGCACTTGCTGGCAATGGCAGGAGGCGGACGTGGGGGGGGTCGTGCAATAGGTACTGGAGGGAGAGACGTGGGCACAAAGGTCGCGGGAGGAACAGGTGCCCACAATGGCTGCAGATCTGCCCGTGGATCACTGAAGATTCCTGCTCTCCTGCTGAGGTGGAGACTGCAGTGAGCTGAGATCGCACCATTGCACTCCAGCCTGGGCAACGAGTGCAAAACTCAGTCTCCAGATAAAAAAAAGAAAAAGAAAAAAAAGAGGCCGGGTGTGGTGGCTTATGCCTATAATCCTAGCACTTTGGGAGGTCGGGGTGGACGGATCACGAGATCAGGAGTTGGAGGCCAGCCTGGCCAACATAGTGAAACCCCGTCTCTAGTAAAAATACAAAATTTAGTCAGACATGGTGGGCAGGAGAGAGCATGTGCAGGGGAACATCCATTTATAAAACCATCAGACCTCATGAGACTTATTCACTACCATGAGAACAGCATGGGGGAAACTGCCTCCATGATTCAGTTATCTCCACCTGGCCCCACCCTTGACACATGGGAATTGTTACAATTCAAGATGAGATTTGGGTGGGGACAGAGCCAAACCATATAATTCTTCCCCGGCCCCTCCCAAATCTCATGTCCTCATATTTCAAAAGCAATCGTGCCTTCCCCTAAGTCCCCCAAACTCTTATTTCAGCATTAACTCAAAATTCCATAGTCCAAAGTCTCATCTGAGACAAGGCAAGTCCCTTCCACCTGTGAGCCTGTAAAACCAAAAGCAAGTTAGTTATTTTCTAGATACACAGGGATACAGGCATTGGGTAAATACACCCGTTTCAAACGGGAGAAATTGGCCAAAGCGAAAGAGCTACAGGCCCCATGCAAGTCCAAAACCCAGCAGGCAAATCTTAGAGCTCCAAAATGACCTCCTTTGACTCCATGTGTCACATCTAGGTGATGCAAGAAGTGGGTTCCCAGGGTCTTGGGCAGCCCCGCCCCTGTGGCTTTGCAGGGTACAGCCCCCCCTTCTGGCTGCATTGAGTGTCTGCAGCTTTTCCAGGCACACAGTGCAAGCTGTCAGTGGATCTACCATTCTGGGGTCTGGAGGATGGTGGCCCTTTTGTGACAGCTCTGCTTGGCAGTACCCCAGTGGGGACTCTGTGTGGGGGCTCCAACCCCATATTTCCCTTTGACACTGCCCTAGCAGAGGTTATCCATGAGGGCCCCCCGCTGCCCCGCACAGCAAACTTTTGCCTGGATTTCCAGGCATTTTCATACATCTTCTGAAATCTAGGCGGAGGTTCATGAACGTTAATTCTTGACTTCGGTGCATCTGCAGGCTTAACACCACCTAGAACCTGAAAGGCTTGGAACTTGCACCCTCTGAAGCCATGGCCTGAGGTGTACCTTGGCCCCTTTTACCTATGGCAGGAGCAGCTGGGATGCAGGGCACCAGGTTCCTAGGCTGCACACAGCAGGGGGTTCTGGACTCACAAGAGCATTTTTCCTTCTAAGCCTCCTGGCCTGTGATGGGAGGGTCTGCTGTGAGGGTCTCTAACATGCCCTGGAGACATTTGCCCCATTGTCTTGGTGATTAACATTTGGCTCCTCATTACTTATGCAAATTTCTACAACCCAGTCTCCTGAGAAAATAGATTTTTCTTTTCTGTTGCATCATCAGGCTACAAATTTTCTGAACTTTTATGCTCTGCTTCTTCTCGAATGCTTTGCTGCTTAGAAATTTCTTCTGTCAGATACCTTAAATCATCTCTCTCAAGTTCAAAGTTCCACAGATCTCTAGGGAACTCTAGAAAAAAATTCTTATTTTCACTCTTTCCCGCCTATCTTATGCCCGTTTCTAACACAGGTGCACAGTGCCTGCAGTGTCTTTGCATAGTAAGAGTGACTTTACTCCATTTCCCAACAAATTCCTCATCTCCCTCTGAGACCACCTCCGCCTGGACCTTATTGTCCATATCACTATTAACATTTTGGTCAAAGCCATTCAACAAGTCTCTAGGAAGTTCCAAACTTTCCCACATTTTCCTATCCTCTTCTGAGCCTTCCAAACTGTTCCAGCCTCTCCCTGTTACCCATTTCCAAAGTTGCTTCCACATGTTCGGGTATCTTTACAGCAGCACCCCACTCTACTGGTATCAACTTATTGTATTAGTCTGTTCTCACACTGCAAATAAAGACATACCTGAGACTGGGTAATTTATAAAGGAAAGAGGTTGAATTGACTCACAGTTCTGCATGGCTGGGGAGGCCTCACAATCATGGTGGAAGGCAAGGAGGTGCAAAAGCATGTCTCACATAGTGGCAGGCAGGAGAGAGCATGTGCAGGGGAGCTCCCATTTATAAAACCATCAGATCTCATGAGACTTAGTCACTACCACGAGAACAGTATGGGGGGAACCATCCCCATGATTCAGTTATCTGCACCTGGCCCCACCCTTGACACGTGGGAATTATTACAATGCAAGGTGAGATTTAGGTGGGGACCCATCCAAACTATGTCAGTATGTTTTGACTTCTGGCTTGATTGCTAGGTTGCATGGAGGACAAACATGGAAATTAATGAAGTACCTTAATATCTGGCTTCAGATCTTAGACAGGATCAGAGGGCCAGCTCAAATTTGCAAGGAGGGGAGGTAGATCCCACCATTTTATGGGTGAATGGCAAAATCAAGCAGAAATTATGTGGGACGGGAGATACTGATGCAGGCATCTTTGGAAACATTCTACTTAGCTAATTTTATGCTAGGCTTTAGGTCAAGAAGGAGAGAGAGAGCTGACATGCTGTGGTACACACTTATAGTCCCAGCGACTTGGAAAGCTGAGGCAGGAGGATTGCTTGATCCCAGGAGTTTGAGGTAGTGTGCGATGATCGTTCTTGTGAATAGCCACTAGCCACTGAACTCCAGCTTGGGCAACACTGAGACACCCTGTCTCTTAATTTAAAAAAAAAAAAAAAAAAAAAAAAAAAAAGGAGGAAAGAAAGTGGTCTCAGTTTTTAATGTAAATATTTTTAATGGGATAATGATATTTTAAGATTAATGTATATTGTATATCAGTTAACTATAGGTCAATAATTATATAAAACTTAAGGTACGAAAAACATTTATTTTTGCTAACATATCCATGAGTTGACTGTTCTTGGCTTGGTGAGGCTGCAAGCTGCAGATAGAGTCTAGGTATGATTTCTGTGTGTTTGTTCCCCCTTGGATCAGTGGACTACCTGAGAATGTGTTTTTGTCACAGTGATAGAATCACAAGGAAACTCCAGTTCTGGAAGTACATTTTAAGCCATTGCTTCTATCATGTCCACTAACATTCAGTCAGCCAAAGCACATACCTTGTCCATGGCTAACATTGATAGTATAGATAAATATACCTGATCTCTAGCAGGAGGAACTGCATTGTCTTGGGGAAAGGTTTTAGATATAGGGAGGGGTGATGAGTTGGGAACAATAATGTAGTCTGCCACAAACATATTAAAGTGTAACTGGATATGGTTGCTGCAGAATTTTGAACCTTTGTTTTAATTGTGATTTTTACTCTTTTCCCCCTATCTAGTGCCCTTTTGTAATACAGTAATTCTCATGATTTTTGTCTGAATTGAAATCTTCTGAGATTAGATTGTCTACGAAAATACAGTCGATCCTCCTTGTTTTCAGCTTTTGTATTTGTGAACTCACCTACTATTTTTTGTAACCCCCAAATCAGTACTCACAGCACTTTCATAGTCATGTGTTTGCGCAGAGTGTCAAAGAATTTGAGTTTGAACAGGATGATATTCTGCCTTCTTTTTCAGCTCTCATACAATAGTCAGGTATCCTTTTTGTGGTCTATTTAATGCCATGCTTTTCCTGTTTTTGTACTGTTTGTTGGTTGTTTTGCCATTTAAATTAACCCCCAAGCATAGTGCTGAAGTGCTGCTTAGCATTCACAAGTCCAAGAAGTCTGTGATGTGTCTTACAGAGGAAATACATGCATTGAATAAACTCCATTCAGGCGTGAGTGCTGTAGTGCCATTGGCTGTGAGTTCAGTGTTAATGAATGAACAATGTATATTATTTATTTATTCTTCATTTAATTAATTATTATTATTTTTTTTGAGATAGAGTCTCACTCTGTTGCTCAGGCTGGAGTGCAGTGGTGCAGTCTTGGCTCACTGCAACCTCTGCCTCCTGGGTTCAAGCGATTCCCCTGCCTTAGCCTCCCAAGTAGCTAAGTCTACAGGCATGCGCCACCATGCCTGGCTAATATATATATATATATATATATATATATATTTTGTAGTTTTAGTAGAGACGGGGTTTCACCACGTTGGCCAGGCTGGTCTCGAGCTCCAGACCTCAAATGATCTGCCCGCCTTGGCTTCCCAAAGTGCTGGGATTACAGGCATTAGCCACTGTGCCTGGCCAACAATATATATTAAATAAGCACACATACAACAAAAGTAGGTGTTGGTAAGCTTACAAAAATGTGACCAGTAGCTTGCTGAAACCTAACTTTTTATTTGTTCATGGAACTTTCTAGACCGTAACTACACTGAATAATGAGAATCTGCTGTAATATTTTTAGGTGCTGTAGATGAGCCATTGGATTAAATTATTACAGTATGTTTCAGACTGCTCTATGTTGAACCCTAGTGAAATGCCTCTCAAACCCTCCTAAGGATCACAATCTCATGTCCTTTTTTTTGTTATTAAATGCCCAGTATGTGTTAGCGATTTAAACAAAATTCAAATATTTTTTTTTTTTTTTTTTTTTGAGACAGAGTCTCGCTCTGTCACCTAAGCTGGAGAGTGCAGTGGCATGATCGCGGCTCACTACAACCTCTGCCTCCCGGGTTCAAGCGATTCTCCTGCCTCAGCATCCTGAGTAGCTGGGATTACAGGCGCCCGCCACCACGCTGGGCTAATTTTTGTATTTTTAGTAGAGACGGGATTTCGCCAGGTTGTCCAGGCTGGTCTGGAACTCCTGACCTCATGCTATCTGCCTGCCTTGGCCTCCTGAAGTGCTGGGATTATAGGCGTGAGCCACCATGCCCGGCGTTGACTTTTTAATAATAACCATTCTGACTGGTGTGAGATGGTATGCCATTGTGGTTTTGATTTGCATTTCTCTAATGATCAGTGATATTGGGCTTTTTTTCATATGCTTGTTGGCCGCATGTGTGTCTTCTTTTGAAGTGTCTGTTTATGTCCTTTGCCCACTTTCTAATGAGATTTTTTTTTTCTTGTAAATTTGTTTAAGTTCCTTATCAGTGTTGGACATTAGATCTTTGTCACATGCATTGTTGCAACAATTTTCTCCTATTCTGTAGGTTGTCTGTTCACTCTGTTGATAGTTTCTTCTGCTGTGCAGAAGCTTCAAGAAGAAAGGAATCCGATTGGTTCTGTGTCTGTCTCTTTTGGTATTCTCAGACTTATGTAGTCATCCATATAGAAAGGTGATTAGGAAAATAGGACAAGAATAGCAGAAATCTACATAAAAATGTAGGAAATTAAAATTAGTTACCAGCATACAAAAAACTACTATATGTTATAATTACATACTATAACTCACCCCTCCTTGCCAAATATTCTCTCTCTTTTGACTTCAAAATCATGGCTTATATGTACTTTCTCTATTTCCCAGATGCAAATATAATTAATTGACTTTATTTATCTAGGAAATATTACTGATATCTTAATTGTAGTCATTGGCTTGAGTGACGGGTTTTGGTAATTCAACTACTATTACTTGAAAGTAGTAGATTTCATAAGATACTGTTATAAAATCTTTTTAACCTCTTTTCTGATTTCAGGAGTAATTAGTAATTGTGGTTTACTGGAAAATTCAATGAATAGCGTGTTAAAGGAAGCAATTCGTTAATAATATATCTAATCTATTGGGAGACTGAGGCGGGTGGGTCACCTGAGATCAGGAGTTCGAGACCAGCCTGGCCAACATGGCAAAACTCCGTCTCTACTAAAAATACAAAAATTCGCCGGGCATGGTGGTGCATTCCTGTATTCCCAGGTACTCGGAAGGCTGAGGCAGGAGAATCACCTGAACTCCAGAGGTGGAGGTTGCAGTGAGTCAGGATCGCAGCACTACACTCCAGCCTGGGTGACAGAGTGAGACTCCATCTCAAAAAAAAAAAAAATTAAAAAATTAAATTAAAAAAAAGCGGGCCGGGCGCATTGGTTCAGGGCCGGGCACGGTGGCTCAAGCCTGTAATCCCAGCACTTTGGGAGGCCGAGGCAGGCGGATCACGAGGTCAGGAGATCAAGACCATCCTGGCTAATGTGGTGAAACCCGGTCTCTACTAACAATACAAAAATTAGCTGGATGTGGTGGCAGGTGCCTGTAATCCCAGCTATTCCAGAGGCTGAGGCAGGAGAATCACTTGAACCTGGGAGGCAGAGGTTTCAGTGAGTCCAGATCATGCCACTGCACTCCAGCCTGGGTGACAGAGCGAGATTCTATCTCAAAAAAAAAAAAAAAAAAAAAAAAAAGCAACAGAAGCAAATGAGAGTGCCTGGGAGTGGTCATTGTGGGGCATTCCTGTTTGTGTGACCCAGGTCATGTCCCTCCCTAAGCCCTGGTCTCTCTTGCCTCCTGCAGGGCTGGTGAATTACCAGATCTCCGTCAAGTGCAGTAACCAGTTCAAGTTGGAAGTGTGTCTTTTGAAATCAGAAAACAAAGTCGTGGACAACCAGGCTGGGACCCAGGGCCAGCTGAAGGTGCTGGGTGCCAACCTCTGGTGGCCGTACCTGATGCACGAACACCCCGCCTACCTGTACTCGTGGGAGGTAATGGTGGTTTGGGACTTGCTTAAGGGAGGTCTTTTGCTCCCATCTGGTAGCCCTGGCTTCAGCAGGAGCCCAGGACAGGTGAACGGGCAGGTGTGGTCCTCTGAGCTTTTCTGAGCTTTCTGATGTTTCCCACCCTTGGTGGGAGGCCCAGATTTTTTATTTATTTATTTATTTATTTATTTATTTATTTATTTATTTGTGATGGTCTCACTCTGTCACCCAGGCTGGAACGCAATGGCCTGATCACAGCTCACTGCAGCTTTGAGCTGCAATCCTCCTCCCTTGGCCTCCTGAGTAGCTGGGACTACAGGCACATGCCACCATGCCTGGCTAATTAAAAACATTTTTTTTGTAGGCCGGGCATGGTGGCTCACGCCTGTAATCCCAGCACTTCGGGAGGCTGACGCGGGCGGATCACTTTAGGCCAGGAGTTGGAGACCAGCCTGGCCAACATGGTGAAACCCCGTCTCTACTAAAATATGAAAATTTGCAGGGCATGATGGTGCACGTCTGTAATCCCAGCTACTCGGGAGGCTGAGGCAGGGGAATTGCTTGAACCCAGGAGGCAGGGGCTGCAGTGAATTGAGATCATGCCACTGCACTCTATCCTGGGTGACAGAGTGAGACTGTCTCAAAAAAAAAAAATCCTTTTTATAGAGTTGGGGGTCTTACTAGGTTGCCCAGGCTGGTCTTGAACTCCTGGACTCAGGTGATCCTCCTGCCTTAGCCTCCCAAAGTGTAGGGATTCCAGGCATGAGCCACCTCGTCTGGTCAAGGAGAAGGCCTGATTTTGAAGGGCAGGTCCCAGGGCCAGCCAGTGAAGGGCAGAGCCTCTGATTGCTGCTTCTCTGCAGGCCCAGAGGCGACTTCTGGGGTGCATGCACGAGGGGTCTTCCTGCTGTAGGGCAGGCCAGATGGGGCTCAGGCTGTCGGGGCGCTCACACCTGGCGCTTTGGCTGTCATAGGTGCGGCTGACTGCACAGAAGTCACTGGGGCCTTTGACTTCTACACACTCCCTGTGGGGCTCCGCACTGTGCCCGTCACCGAGAGCCAGTGGGTGAGAGCCAGTTTCATTTGTGGTAGAGGCAGCAGAGGTTGTAGAAATGCTCCTTGAGGCAGATGCCACACCCCAGTTTCATGGAGTGATTTGGGCTGAGCCGAGTCTGCAGCAGGCAGAAGGCTCTGAGATGTTGTCCTAGCCTGGGCAGAGGACAATTCAGAGCTCGGGGGAATAGGGGTGTGCTCAGCACGACTGGGTGGACAGGCCCTTTGTTGTGAATCGTACAGGCTTCCAGGAGCGGGTGCCTGAGGCTTCCAGACAGGCTTTGGGAGGTGGCCAGAGGAGATGCCTGTTTCCGGGGCAGGAAATGGAGGGAGCGCCCAGGCTGGAGAGGTTCAGCCAGGCTGTCACAAGGCTTTGAAGCTTCCCATCTGAGAGCCTGGCTATTGGAGAGTGTGGGTTTGGAACTTGAGGCTAGGAGGTTCTGTTCTGTCCTGTGCCAGCCACAGCCTTCGGATGGGCAGAGCAATGATGGGGGGAAGATGTAAAAGAAAAGAACTGAGGAAAGAAGAAGAAAACCAGCTTCAACAACAGTCTAGGCCGGATGCGGTGGGTCACGCCTGTAATCCCAGCAGTTTGGGAGGCTGAGGTGGGTGGATCACCTGAGGTCAGGAGTTCGAGACCAGCCTGGTCAACAGGTAGTGAATCCTGTCTCTACTAAAAATACAAAAATTAGCTGGGCATGGTGGTGGACGTCTGTAATCCCAGCTACTAGGTAGGCTGAGGCAGGAGAACCGCCTCAGGTGAACCAGGAGGCAGAGATTGCAGTGAGCTGAGATAATGCCACTGCATTCCAGCCTGGGCTACAGAATGAGACTCTGTATCTCAAAAAAACAAAACAAAACAAAAACACAACAGTCTGTTCTGTGGAGGCCTTGGGCAGATGCTGGGAGCTCTGAGCACAGACTGGTCCCTCTGTTGGGAGCCTCTTCCCTTCATCCCTCCTGGTTAACTTGACTCAGCATAAAGGCCATTTCTTCTAAGAGCCTGTCCCTGACTCTCCAATCGGGGATGTGTCTGTTGTCTCATAGAGTGCCCAATTCCTGCCACCATTTGTCATTTCCATTCGCAACATTTCTTTCATTGTTTGTTTTTCAGAGTCAGGGTCTCACTCTGTTGCCCAGGCTGGAGTGCAGTGGTGCAATCATAGCTCGTTGCCATCTCGACCTCCTGGGCTTAAGCGATCCTCCCCTCTCAGCCTCCCAAATAGCTGGGACCACAGACGTGCGCTGCCTTGCCAGGCTAAATTTTAATATTTTTTTTCCCCACGAGTCAGAGTCTTGCTCTGTCTCCCAGGCTGGAGAGCAGTGTTGCGATCTTGGCTCACTGCATCCTCTACCTCCTGGGTACAAACAGTTCTCCTGCCTCACCCTCCCGAGTAGCTGGGATTACAGGCTCACGCCACCATGCCCAGCTAGTTTTCTTCTTTATTTTTTGTTGAGATGGGGTTTCACCATGTTGGCCAGGCTGGTCTCGAACTCTTGAGCTCGTGATCCACCTGCCCTGGCCTCCCAAAGTGCTCACAGGCTTGAGCCACCATGCCCGGCCCTAATTTTTAAATTTGTTGTAGAAACAAGGTCTTGCTATGTTGCCCAGGCTGGTCTCAAGCACCTGGTCTCAAGTAAGCCTCCCAAAGTGCTGGGGTTCTAGGCGTGAGCCACCTCGCCTGGCGCTTGCACCGTTTTTCTGTGCATGCATCTCCACTCCCACTGCCCAGGACCTGTGGACTTAGATTTGAGTCATTACTGAGCACCTAGCACCCAGCCTCATGCCTACCTCCCACCTCGCACTACCTGTTTGCTTGATGCATTAATAAATATTCCACCTGAATCCACAGCCCATTCACTCCTGTGTTCAAGGGCTATTTCAGGAAGTGAACCTCATTTTTGGCAGTGTTCAGTCCAGTGACCTCAGCTCTGTGTACCTGGCAGGGTGGCTACGCCTCTGGGGGAATTGGATTCAGGGGTGGGGGAGAAAGAGTGTTGTTAGAGAGCTTGGTCTAGGACTAGAGGAACGTGCCCTTATGTAAAATACATCTCAAGTTAGGGAAGAAAGCAGCGGCTCTGTGCTTTGTTTTTTTTTTTGTTTTTTTTTCTTTTCTTTCTTTTTGTTTGTTTGTTTGTTTGTTTGTTTGTTTGTTTTGGGGCAGGGTCTTGCTCTGTGGCCCAGGCTGGAGTGCAGTAGCGTGATTTCGGCTCACTGCAACCTCCACCTCCCGGGTTCAAGCAATTCTTGTGCCTCAGCCTCCCGAGTAGCTGGAGTTACAGATGCGTGCCACTAAGCCTGGCTAATTTTTGTATATTTAGTAGAAATGGGGTTTTGCCATGTTGGCCAGGCTGTTCTTGAACTCCTGACCTCAGTGATCTGCCTGCCTCAGCCTCCTGAAGTGCTGGGATTACAGATGTGAGCCATCATGCCTGGCCCCCAGTTGTGTTCTGGCAGGGGAAGATGGGACAGAGAGGATGGGAGGGTGTCTGAGCCTTTCCCGGACTGACGGAACCTGTGTCTTCTCTCTTTTGTGGACAGGATGGTGATTGCTCACACCAAAGCCTTGGACCCCTCCCAGCCTGTGACCTTTGTGACCAACTCCACCTACGCAGCAGACAAGGGGGTGAGCCTGGGGGTCCCCACCCCATTTCTCCCTGCCTTTGCCTGGGCTTGTCCTGAAGCCTGCTCATGGGAAGAGCTGGAAAGAACCATGTGCTGCCAGTCTGAGCTTTTTATTTTGTTTTACTTAGAAAGATAGAGACAGGGTCTTGCCATGTTGCCCAGGCTGGTCTCGAACTCCTGGGCTCAAGTGGTCCTCCTGCCTCGGCCTTCCAGAGGGCTGGGGTGACAGGCGTGTGCCACCGCACTCAGCCGCAGCCAGTCTGTTTTCAAAGATGGTCTTTGGGTTAATGACAATTCTCTCTCTGCTTACTCTCTAGGCAGTGTGGCTTTCTGAATTTAAGGAGGCTGGGCATAGGGAGATGGGATTTGTTTGCCCAGTTTGGACTCAGCATTTTTTGTACTCGATTTAATAGACTCATAAAATGTCAAAGGTTTAAGTGAGCTTAGAGTTCATCTGGCCCAAACCTGGCTGATCAGAATCTCCAGGGGAAGTTTTATTGAAATGCCAGATCTCTGCATTCTGAGATCCTGATTTAGTAACTCCAGGGTTGGAACCTGAGTTTTTTTTTGTTTTTGTTTTTTTTTTTTGTGAAGGCAAGGTCTTACTCTGTTGCTCTGGCTGGAGTGCAGTGGTGTGATCACAGCTCACTGCAGCCTTGAATTCCTGGGCCTAAGCAACCCTCTTGCCTCAGCCTTCCAAGTAGCTGGGACTCCGGGTGTACACCACTGTGCCCGGCTAATTTTAAATGTTTTTGTAGAGATGGGATCTCACTATGTTGCCCAGGCCAGTCTCAAACTCTTGAGCTCAAGTGATCCTCCTGCCTTAGCCTCCTAAAGTGCTGGGATTACAGGCATGAGCCACCGTGCCTGGCTGATACTAGCATTCTTTTTTTTTTTTTTTAAAAAAAAGATGGAGTCTTGCTGTGTTGCCCAGGCTGGAGTGCAGTGGCACAGTCTCAGCTCACTGCAACCTCCGCCTCCCAGGTTCAAGCAATTCTCCTGCCTCAGCCTCCCAAGTAGCTGGGATAACAGGCACATGCCACCACGCCTGCGCTTGATCGTGGGAGGCAGAGGTTGCACTATTGTGCCACTCCATTCTAGCCTGGGCAACAGAGCGAGACTCTGTCTTCCAAATAAAGCGAAAAAAGATTATCTGCGAGAATGACTGCATTGGCCCCTTGGGTGGGAGGGCTTCTCCAGGGCAAGGTGAGGGGATGCCCAGTGCTGGGAGTGCTGCCTGGAGAGGAGTCAGTTCCAGTGGCGGGGGCCCTGGGTTTTGGCTGAGGACTGCGTGTTGGCAGCTGCTCTGCCTCTCACAGCCCTTCCCAGCTGCACACGTCGTGAGCGTCAGTGTGCAATCACAGGCCTGCCTCCTTTGGGCCACTTTGTGACCATGTTTTTTGCTTGTGGGGCAGGGTAATTTCAGGATCTAAATTGGTGCAGTTGGATGTTCTCAGCCCCGAGAGGCAGCTCTTCCCGTTCTAGGCTTTTTGTTTTGTTTTGTAGAAATGGAGTCCTACGATGTTGCCCAGGCTGGTCTCAAACTCCTGGGCTCAAGTGATCCTCCCACCTTGGCCTCCCAATGTGCTGGGATTACAGGCATGAGCCACTGTGCCGTGCTAATTTTCTTGATACTATTTTTTGTAGAGCTGGGGTCTTGCTGTGTTGCCCAGGCTGGTCTCGAACTCCTGGCCACAAGCCACCCTCCTGCCTCAGCCTCCCAGAGTGCTGGGATTACATCCCCTTCTTACCTTCTCTGTCAGAGGAGCCCCCACAGCATGTGAGTACTGAGTCATGCGGTCTTGTGGTTGCTGAACGGGCTCTGCTGCTCTGGTCCTAGGCTCTGTATGTGGATGTGATCCGTGTGAACAGCTACTACTCTTGGTATCGCAACTACGGGCACCTGGAGTTGATTCAGCTGCAGCTGGCCGCCCAGTTTGAGAACTGGTGTAAGACATCACAATCCCATTATTCAGAGCGTGTATGGAGTGGAAACGCTTGTAGGGTTTCACCAGGTAAGCGGTGTTGAACTTTCTGCTTGTGTATTCTCTCTTGGCAGAGATGCCACTTGCCTCTCCCACCCTGCCCTGCGCCCACTGCAGTGCTCCCCTTGCTTCAGCTTTGGGCTCACCTCCCGCTACCCTGTCCACGTTCCCTTCTCACCAGCAGCCAGGCCTCTGTCCCACTCGCTTGGTCCTCAAAGGTGGACTCCTTACTGGCCTTGTTTCCAGACAGCCTCCTATCACCCGTTCCCAAGTGGTCTTTCTAACAAATCCAAATTTTTGTGTGTTTTTGAGTCCGCCTCTTTCTCTGTCACCCAAGCTGGAGTGCGGTGGTGCGATCACTGCTCACTGCAGCCTTAACCTCCTGGGCCCGAGCGATCTTCCCACCTCAGCCTCCTGAGTAGCTGGGACCATAGGCACAGGCCAACATGCCTGGCTTATTTTTTTACTTTTGTAGAGAAGGGGCCTTGTTGTGTTCCCCGGGCTGGTCTTGAATTCCTGGGATCAAGTGATCCTCCTGCCTCAGGCTCACAAAGCGCTGGGATTACAGGTGTGAGCCACTGTGCCCGGCCACAAATCAAAATTTTTGAGTCCTATCATTGGCTCCCCCAGGCCCATAGGACAAAGTCCTAACCACTAGTCAGGACACTCAGTGTCCTCTGTTCTCTCCTGGGTTTTCATCCTCTTCTCTTCTCACTCCTGGCCACTGATCTGTTTCCACTGCCCTCATTTGCTCTCCTGCTCTTGCTTGAGCTATTCTTTCTGCCTGAAATGCCCATGTTGGCACCATAATCACCAACTAAAAGATCCTTTTCTTTTTATTTTTTTAGAGATAGGGTCTTGCTATGTTGCCCTGGCTGGTCTCAAACTCCTGGACTCAATTGATCTTTTTGCCTTGGCCTCCGAAAGTGCTGGGATTAGCAGGTGTGATCCACTGTGCTAGCCTTTTTTTATTTATTTTTTTCCTGACAGGGTCTTGTTCTGTTGCCCAGGCTGGAATGTGGTGGTGTCATCATAGCTCACTGCAGCCTCGAACTCCTGGGCTGAAGCAATTCCCCTGCCTCAGCCTCCTGAGTAGCTGGGACTACAGGCGTGCACCACCATGTGCAGCCTAGTTTTAAAATATTTTGTAGAGATGCAGTCTCGCTATCAGGCTGGTCTTCACCTCCTGTCTTGGACTCCCAAAGTACTGGGAATACAGGCGTGAGTCACGACACGTGGCTGAAAAGATTCCTATTTGGCATCTGAGTCTCCTCATAGCTGTCCCCTCTGTGGGGAGGTTTACCCTGCCTGCCCCAGGCGGAGGGAACCTTCCCCGTGCTCTGCCCTGTTGCAGCCGGAACCTGGCTCTCCCAACATTCTCGCCAGGCACCGTTGTTATTTCTTTGGCTCTCTCTTTGATCGGACTGTGGGCTCAGGAGACAGGAGTCCTATTTATTGTTGTTTCCCAGGTACTCTGCAATAGCTGACACAGCACATGCTAAATAATACCTATTGAGGGCATGGGTGAGATCTTAGAGCCATGTTTAATCACTCACTTTGTCTTTTTTTTTTTTTTTTTTGAGATGGAGTCTCACTCTGTCACCCAGGCTGAAGTGCAATGGTGTGATCTCAGCTCACTGCAACCTCCACTTCCTAGGCTCAAGCGATTGTCCTGCCTCAACCTCCCAAGCAGCTGGGATTACAGGCACCTGCCACCATGCCCAGCTAATTTTTGTATTTTTGTAGAGGTGGGGTTTTGCCATGTTGGCCAGGCTGGTCTCGAGCTCCTGACGTCAAGTGATTTGCCTGCTTCTGTGTCCCAAAATCCTGGGATTACAGGCCTGAGCCACCATGCCTGGCCTGTCCTCATTTGTTTATCCATCTCATTTTTTGTCCTTCTCACCAAAGATATGTTGCTTTGTCTTGTGGGGTTTTTTTCATGTGGATTCCTGAACCCCATCCAGCCCCTTGTCCCCTCCCCAGCCAGCTCACACTCTTTTGCACAGCTCCTGGGACTCCCGTTGACACACAGGGAACAGCCACCCACAATGGACTGCACTGTTCTGTTTGCACCCTTAAATTTATCGTGCTTACAGAATGACACTTCTGCAAACTAGTCAAGTAGGGGGAAGTGGTTTGTGGATATGCACCCTTGTTCATTCTCTTTGAAAAGGTAACCAGCTCTGAATTCTTTCTCCTTTGAGGAGGAGTTTCACTTGTCGCCCAGGCTGGAGTGTAGTGGTGCAATCTTGACTCACTGCTACCTCCGCCTCCCAGGTTCAAGCAATTCTCCTGCATCAGCCTCCCAAGTAGCTTGGATTACAGGCATGCACCACCATGCTCACCTAATTTTTTTTTTTTTTTTTTTTTTTAGTAGAGATGAGGTTTCACCATGTTGGTCAGGCTGGTCTTGAACTTTTGACCTCAAGCGATCCACCTGCCTTGGCCTCCCAATGTGCTGGAATTACAGGCATGAGCCACCATGCCCAGCCCCAGTTCTGAATTCTTAAGAAACTCGAGAGGGTCTAGGTGAGCATTGATAGAACCTCTGCAGTGCTGGGTGTGGTGGCTCACACCTGGAATGCTAGCCCTTTGGGAGACCGAGGTCAGAGGATCTCTTGAGCCCAGGAGTTTGAGACCAGTCTGCACAACATGGACCCCATCTCTACAAAATATTTAAGATGAGTTGTGGCTGGGTGCAGTGGCTGACGCCTGTAATCCCAGCACTTTGGGAGGCTGAGGTGGGTGGATCACGAGGCCAAGAGTTCAAGTCCAGCCTGACCAACATGGTGAAACCCCGTCTCTACTAAGAAAACACAGAAATTAGCTGGGTGTGGTGGCATGCACCTGTAATCCCAGCTACTCAGGAGGCTAAAGCAGGAGAATCGCTTGAACTGGGGAGGTGGAGGTTGCAGTGAGCCGAGATTGTGCCACTGCACTCCAGCCTGGGCGACAGAGCAAGACTCCGTCTCAAAAAAAAAAAAAAAAAAAATTGTTGGGTATGGTCGTGCTTGCCTCTAGTCCCAGCTACTTGGGAGGCTGAGGTAGGAGGACTGTTTGAGCCCAGTAGGTCAAGGCTGCAGTCCGCCATAATTGCACCACTGTACTCCCACCTGGGTGACAGAGTGAGACCTTGTTTCAAAAAAGAACCTTTGCAATGATGGAAATGCCCCATGTCTGCACTGTCTGAAATGGTAGCCACTAGCTACATGTGGCTATTGAGGTCTTGATATATGACTAGGATAACTGAATTTATTTGGTTTAATTAAAAAAAAATTTTTTTGAGACAGCCGTACTCTGTTGCCCAGGCTGGAGTGCAGTGGCGTAATCACAGCTCACTGCTCAACCTCCTGGGCTCAAGTGATCCTTCCTCCTCGGCCCCCCAAGTAGCTGGAGCCACAGGCATGCGCCACTACACCTAGTGAATATTTAGCCTTTTTATAGAGACTGGGTTTCACTGTGTTGCCTAGGCTGATCTTGAACTCCTGAGCTCAAGTGATCCTCCTGCCTCGACCTCCCAAAGTGCTGGGATTACAGACCTGAGCTACCATGCCCAGCCTGGTTTAGTTTAATTTCATTTTACATTCATTCATTCATTCATTCATTCATTCATGAGATAGGGTCTTGTTCTGTCACCCAGGCTGGAGTGTAGTGGTGCAAACACAGCTCACCACAGCTTTGACCTCCGGGACTGAAGCAGTCCTCCCACCTCAGCCTCCCAAGTAGCTGGGACCACAGGTGTGTGCCTCCATGCTTGGCTAACTTTTGTACTTTTTGTAGGCTAGTCTTGAACTCCTAGGCTCAAGCAGTCCTCCCAACTCGGTCTCCCAAAGTGCTTGGATGACAGACATGAGCCAGCGCGCCTGACCTAAAGACATATTTTTCCTTCTAGTGTAGTTCAGCTTTAAGACTGTATCAGCAGATAGAGACGGAAAAGTAATAAAAATTGAGTATCAGGTTATATTTATAAATAAAGCAGTTACTAATTGATGTTTTTTTTTTAAACCTCCTTTTTAATTCTGGGTTACATCATTCCCTGGCTGTCTTTTTTTGTTGTTGTTGTTGTTGTTTTTATTATTATACTTTAAGTTTTAGGGTACATGTGCACATTGTGCAGGTTAGTTACATACGTATACATGTGCCATGCTGGTGTGCTGCACCTACTAACTCGTCATCTAGCATTAGGTATATCTCCCAATGCTATCCCTTCCCCCTCCCCCCACCCCACAACAGTCCCCAGAGTGTGATATTCCCCTTCCTGTGTCCATGTGATCTCATTGTTCAATTCCCACCTATGAGTGAGAATATGCGGTGTTTGGTTTTTTGTTCTTGCGATAGTTTACTGAGAATGATGATTTCCAATTTCTCCCTGGCTGTCTTTACCCTAGCATCAGTGAGTCCTGCAGTCACTACAGCCCCCAGTGAGGACAGATATTTTGGTCACCATCAAGTGGATCTTTATTTTTACCTAACATTTACAATTCTGCCAGTTCTTACTCTTAATTCTCTTTGCCTTGAATCCCAGGATCCACCTTGATGTTCAGTGAAGAGTACCAGAAAAGTCTGCTAGAGCAGTACCATCTGGGTCTCAATCAAAAACGCAGAAAATACGTGGTTGGAGAGCTCATCTGGAATTTTGCCGATTTCATGACTAACCAGTGTAAGTGGCAGTTTAGCGCATGGGATAATGTACCCGTCCTCATTTTTTCAGGTTGCCTTGCCCATTCTGGACATTTTGGCTGTAAGAATATTGGAAACAAAGGGGGGAAGCTGGTTTAATCCATGTAGATTGTGTTGAGAATTTCCTAGGAAAAGTAAGTTGTGCTTAGGAAGTAGGAAAGCAGTCAGGCCCCCGCTTCCCACATACGGTCAAAAAGCAAACATGAGAGTCTGCTATAGTGAGATGGAAATGGCTAGCTTGCCTTTTTCTTGTCTATTTCATAGCCAAGGATGAAGGAAAAACTGGACCTCATTATGGATTTACTTTTGGGATACACTCATTATTCCAGAGGAGGGTAAAAGGCTGAGAAGCTTAAGGTATTTCAGTCTGTTTTATGTTACTCATTTGCGAAAAGTAGGCTCATCGAATACAGGTGAGTGTCAATGCGTCTTGAATATGGCAGCATTTAAAAGTCTTCAGACCAGGCATGGTGGCTCATGCCTGTCATCCCAGCACTTTGGGAGGCCAAGGTGGGAGGATTGCTTGAGGCCAGGAGTTCGAGACCAGCCTGTTCAGCATAGCAGGACCCCCATCTCTACAAAAACTAAACAGATTAGCTAGGTGTGGTGGTGTGTGCCTGTAGTCCTAGCTGCTTGGGAGGGTGAGGCAGGCGGATAGCCTGAGCACAGGAGATGGAGGCTGCAGTAAGCCATGATTACACCACTGCACTTGAGCCTGGGCAACAGAGTGAGACCTGTCTTTAAAAAAAAAAAGGAGCTGGGCACGGTGGCTCATGCCTGTAATCCCAGCACTTTGGGAGGCCGAGGCAGGCAGATCATGAGGTCAGGAGATCGAGACCATCCTGGCTAACAGTGAAACCCTGTCTCTACTGAAAATACAAAAAAAATCAGCCGGGCGTGGTGGCGGGCGCCTGTAGTCCCAGCTGCTCGGGAGGCTGAGGCAGGAGAATGGCGTGAACCCAGGAGTTGGAGCTTTCAGTGAGCCGAGATTGTGCCACTGCACTCCAGCCTTGGCGACAGTGAGACTGCTTCTCAAAAAAAAAAAAAGAAAAGAAAAGAAAGGGTCTTCAAAGACAATAAGATCTGTGCTCTCACGTAGGGTGGATGAGGGGCTGCCAAGTTAGCAATGAATGTTTCCCATTTCTTCTTAGTTTATGGACTTTCCATAAACTCAGGATGGCAGTTTGGTTGGTTGGAGAAGGATATGGTGATGGCGGGAGTTACAATACATTACTTATAGGGGAAGATAGGCTTTTGAAAGGTTAAAGCTTAAAAGTGAGAATGGAAAAGGGATGAATGAATGAACATGATGAGGTGAGAGGGAAGAGGTAAAGGGAAAAGGAGAACAAGAAACTCTTCTCTGCGTGGCACCTGGGATGAATGGTTTCTGGGGACATCCCTGATGGCAGTTTTGTGGAGAGGTGCAAAGCTTTGTGTGTTAAGAAATGAGCTGTAGGCTCAGTGCAGTGGCTCATGCCTGTAATCCCAGCACTTTGGGAGGCTGAGGTGGGCGGATCATGAGGTAAGGAGTTCGAGAGCAGCCTGGCCAACATGGTGAAACCGTGTCTCTACAAAAAAATAGAAAAAAAATCCCTGCATGGTGGTGAGCACCTGTAGTCCCAGTTACTCAGGAGGCTGAGGCATGAGAATCGCTTAAACCTCCGAGGCGGAGGCTGCAATGAGCTGAGATGGTACCACTGCACTCCAGCCTGGGTGACAGAGCTGGGTGGTGGCTCAAGATATGTTTTGTAAACCTGAAGATTTGAGATCATATAAGCCAAATAGAAACTTAATTGGCATTCATAACTTTTGGTTCTAGAGACTCCATGATCAACTAAGAGCCACCAAGCATTTCCCATGTAGACTATTTTGACCATGCTGACTCTACTGACACTGTGGTTACTGAATTCATTTTATCTCTAGAAATTAATTCTTACTAATGGATGTCTGTCACTGTAAGATCCTTCTATCCTCTGAAATAAGGAGAACATTTTAACTTCAGTAGTTTAAACTAGTGTCCTAAACTATAGCATTCAAAATGAGATAATATGCTAAAGTAATACACAAACCAAAAATCCCAGTGGCTAACACAAAAAGTTTTTCTTACTCATTTTACATATCCAGAGTAAGTCAGTAATAGACGCAGACACACCCAGAGACCAAGGATGAGTTGTGATCTGTCTGCACACATAGTTCACAATGCCTGAGTGAGTTGTGCATTGGCCTTGAAACTTCCACTCATGTTTAATTAATAAAGATTTTGCTCAAATGCCATTTGATGATGAGTTTCATGACCATGATCAACTTTAAAAGAACTTGGAAGTACAATCCTCAAGCGTTTCTGGAAATAGCAGAACTACAGTATTTGAGAAAAATATTTTTTAATGTATAAAAAATTGGCAGGGTAGGCTAGCAAGCAAGAGACCTAGAGAAAAGTTGATGTTACAGTCTCAAGACGAAAGGCAATCTGCAGGCAGAATTATTTCCTTCAGGGATCTCAGTCTTTTAATATAATCAATTGACTGGATGAGCCCTACAATATTTTGGAAAATAATCTGCTTTACTCAAAAATTACTGATTTTCATGTTAATCTCATCTAAAAATACTTTCAGAGCAACAACTAGAATGGTATTTGAATATATAACTCTTTTAACTTTTAAAATATCAAATAATACAGTTATATATATATACACACATATGTATATATGTCACCTAAATTGTAGATATCAGAAATCAGAATGCTGTGATATGAATATTTAGTATATTTTAATCATGATAAATTATACATCCTTCTACCTTATGATAATGGATTTTAAGATCTATGCTGTTAAACTCTATATTTACCCTTTAATTCATATCTTGCTTATTTTACATTTATCTGAGAATACATTGGGTCTACTAAATCTTTACTATCACTCACAGTCTTACGTTTTAAGATAATTTTTCAATAAAATAAAAATTCTTCATTGCACCTAGAAAGGAGCAGGGTTTTGAAAGTGATCAATGATTACTCTAATACCTAATATAATAATATAATATAGTAAAAATCAAAATACTTGAATGAAAAATGTAAAATTAATAGTTTTGCTTTCATTGTTTTTATTCCAGTGTCCATTTTAGAATGTTTTTACTCTAATTGTGTTTTTATGCAAAACCAAATGAGCTTTAGATAATTCCATTGATACATTACATATGAAAGTTCTCGTTAAATAGGATATAGCATATTTTACTTAAAAATCCAAATTATAAAATAAAGAGGGATTTTAAGTTGAGTCTAAAATTTTTGTTTCAATTTTGTTTTTATTTAAAGACTTGCTATAATTCTGTGAGAGAGCTATAAAAGTCTACTCAGAAACATTATAATGTAAAATGGCCAGAGAAGGACAATGAGATATTTAATTTGCCACGGCAAAGCCATTGCTGTGAAGAATGGATAATATATGTCAATGGTAATATATGAAGAAATAACACAGGTGAATAGCAGAGGCAATAAATCTGTTTTTACCACAGGACTTGTCTTACACTTTTCTCTTAGTAATAAATAAAATAATTTTCGACCAGATGGAGCTGGCTTGAAATCCTCTTGTTTATGGCAGTACATATCGGTTATGATTCAAAAAATATAGCCCATTTCCAAAAACCTGCAACAAAGAGATACTTTCTCAGGTGATTGTTCAGATCATTATTCATTACAAAGTGTCAGTTTTGTCTTTATTGATCCTCATTATTGTAAGAAAGTATGTGGTCTTGTCTCCATTCTATTAAAACAACATTGTAGAGATTAGCACTGAGTCTTTCCAGCCATATGCATCTGTTCATTTCCGTCTCCAGCTTGAGTTTTTCTGTGTATTACAAAATAAGAAAACAAAAATGACACAATAATCTATTTTGTCTGGTTTTGCTCTTTATTAGTAGAAATAGACAAGTGAGGAGTTGGAGGAAGAAATTGCTTCTGATCTGTTTTAGATACAGATGAAACTCTCCCTCCCTCCCCGCCCCACCCAATCTTTCTCTGTCTCCCTCCCTGAGCCTATTCTTGCTTCTTCCCTTTACAAATAATTAACTGCTCAGGTCATGTTGAACCAAAAAATAGCATCTGTAGCCCCTGTGTGCTTACTTTAAGTATATGTTACTGAAAAATGCGGAGTGAGCACTTACAACTCATTCTCCTGGGAAGCACAGTGATACTATACCCCAAATGCTTTTCTTTATCATTTTAATTTTTATCTTCTTTACTTACATTTCCAACATCAGTTAAGAGGGTCTTGTAGTTTTCTAACTGAAAGGAGATTGTAAAATCTCCTTGCTCAAAACTCAGATGCAGAATATTATTTTTACTACAATAAATACATCTACAACAATGGTATTATATCTGGTTTATTTCAAAGTCAAGTTCTAATATAGGTAAACAAATATACTAATAAAGAGATAATGCTTTTCTCATGAAATGTATAATCTAGTAGGAATAAAGATAAACAATTTTTTTAAAAATTCTATTTCATTAAGCAAAAATGCAACTCAGAAGAATAATGTATATTAGCAGTCATTTACTATTTTTCAATTAAATTCCGATATATATGTAAAGTAAATTATTACTAATATCAAACATAGTTTAAAGAATTAGTGACTATGTGCACTTGGATCTCCATATGTAATGTACTATCAGCATCTTCACAAACACAGTAAATTTTACTACGCAAGTAAAACTTATTTTACTAAACGATGATTACTCCTTCTATATTCATATTCCTAAACACATACAGTTTCTTAATGTAATTAAGTTTTTAACTAAAAAAAGGGAAATGCATTATTGAGGCGATAGGATTACTGGGTGGCTATAAACACATCTGCTGCACAGCTGACATTTATCTTCTACAATGAGCAATGACAATTTTATTTTTTAATAATCAGTATGGACTAATCCTGATGATTTTTTTTTAACATTTTCAAATAGGGCTGCATATGGCTTAAAATTAATATATACATGTGTACCTATATAATATTCTTATTTATTAATGGACTTCCTACATAGCTCATATTGACGTTAGATTTAAATGAAATTCCAGAAGGGTTTTCTATAGGTAAGTCATACATTGGATTTCCATATTACCTATGATTATTGAAGTATTTATTTCTGTTTTTAAGACTTCAGAGCAATTTTGCTGGTCATTTGTTTTCTGTGTTTTTATTTTGAAATTGTTCTTTGAGGCATTGTCCTATTACATTTTTAAGGTATGTTAATAAAATAATATTTTTAATGAAATTTTGCCTACTGCTTTCCAGGTGAACTCTTGTTTAAAGTATTAATTCGCCAAAAATTACTTATATTCAGAAAATGAACTAAAAAAAATAATATGACGTGTTCAAGAAAGTCGAACAAAAGATACGTGATGTTTGCAACATACACAACTCCATACCCTTCTCAAATAGTAAAGAGAATAGTAAATAGAATAGGTAGTAAGCAGAGTAGGAATTGTGGAATATGGAACTCTCAGTCACTCAATTGACTTTATTTTTTAGTAATACGGGATTTGAATTATTCAAGCTGAAGCCATTAAATATTCATAGTGCTTCATATTATAAAGTTATTGATTAATGTCTTTGGTAAAGAACACTATTATTTCTGATTACATCAAGGTCATCCCGAGGAACAGGACCAAAGCATAAAGTTTTATATATGAAATATGAGAAGTTAATACATAATTCATATTTAACAGATAACATAAATGTTAACCCCTTGGAGAATCTGAAGCTAATACCCATGTTCTTCTGACAATTCTTTATACTGGCAATTTGGAAAATGCCAGTGTTTTATCGCTACCTATTCTTGTATTATGACATGAATTAATACATATCTGCCTCACTATTCCTGTGGGCAAAAAAAGACTGTGAATTATGTGCCAGAGAGAGATTTTACAAAATTAAATGAGGCAAAATACTTTTCCTCTGTATACTCATTAGAAATATGCTGAGTAGTTCCTTTCAGTTCCTTTCACTTTCCGATAAAATATAATCAGTTCAGCCATATAACAGATATCTTTTAAACTTTTAATGTCCTCTGTTAGAATGAATATGATATTTGGGACCAATTCACATTTTGGAATAATGTACATACTAAGCATAAGTGAAGAATTTAAACATTAACTTGATTTAGGATTGGACTCTTAGTTTTAAAAAGTTGAAAAACGGAATTCCAACAAATTTAAATGGCTTGTTTAGGGTTTCCACAGGCAATATGGGGTGGTGCAATGGAAAGAGAATTCCTTTAATCTAAACGTGGGCTTTATTCTGGCTCTGCCACATATTGACTGTTTCATACAAATGTAACTTAAACTGCAGGTGTCATGATTTTTCACACATATACAAATAAAACAATATTGATTATATAGGATTTGTTGAGAAAATGCAATTATGCCAAGTACAAGTATTTGGCATATTATCTCACTTTATAAATATTAGCAATTCTTTTTGTGGAGGGAATAAATCTAACATGCTGGCTTTTAGAATTTCTTCTTATTTTTCTTTCAACTTTATTGCCATGTAACATTAAGTCAATAAATCTGACAATTAGACTGTGGGTAATTTTCTTCCAAATCCATATCTTGTTTTCTCTATCCATAGTAGCATTTTAAAACAACAGAAGGGAACTTTAATTACAGTAGGTTGGGAGCCATTTTCTCCCTTTGGTCATATTTTCATTGAAATTCCTACATTGTTTAATATTAGGACTTAGTATGAATATCAAATCAACAAAGTTGCTCAATACAAATACTATGGAATCATTTTTCTGTCATGCCACAGAACTTATTAACTGTATGTTCAAAATGCAGCTCAATTCTGATCATTTTTGCTACTTTCACCACTAGCATCCTGGTGCTAACCACCATCATTTATTGCCCAGGTTATTGAAATGGCCAGCAAACAGGTGTTTCTGATTCTGCATAAGGCACCCTTCAGTACATCCTCAAAAGAGCAATTTGTATAATCACTTTAAAACATGTATCAGGTTATTACCTTTTTCTGTGTAAAACTCTGATCTCTCATTTCATTCATTGTAAAAGTCAGAACATGCACAATGCTTTATAGATGCTCCACCACATGAAGCCCCCAATTCTTCTATGGACTTCCCTCCTTCCACTATGTAATTTTCTCACTCAGCTTCACGTACAGTATTTTCTTGGTTATTACTAAACATGCAACAGATACGGTTTGTTCTATATCTTCCTCATGCTTTTGGTCAGATGCCATTATCCCAGTGAGGTTTTCCATAGCCACTTTATTCAAAGTCCAAACAATCTGTCCCCTTAGACATTCTCCATTCTTAATTTTTTGCCATTGTACTTACTACAGTCTAACACACTATACATGTTACATTTTTGCTTATTGTTTATTGTATAGTCCCTAGAATATTAGTTCCCTGAGGACAGAGATTTCTATAAGCTTTTCCAAAGATGTATCCCCAAAGCCTAGAATGCTACCTGGCAACAAATACTTGTTATAATGAATTAGAAGTGGGTAGATTCACACATCAGAGACAGCGTAGTGTATATAATGATTTTTTAAAGCATTAGAGTCATAGATACTAGGATTTGTATTATGTCTTCACCATTTACAATTATGCTACCCTCAACAAGTTGTTTAATCTTTCCATTCCTCAGTTTCCTCATGACTCATATATTGGAAATATTGTCTACCTCAGAGCTCTTCCAAGAGTAATATTGAGACAATGTTTCAACAATGTTTAGCACATTGCTGAATATTAATACATTATTTCTATTAATGTAAGAAATTTCATAGACTTGCTAGAAATAATGAGGATGGAATATAGATGAAGATCATAAAACATGATGGAAATAAATGTTGGAAAATGTGGGTGGTATCCTTAGCACACTCTCTAACGTAAGGAGTAAAATCTGTGTCATATGACTTTATCTTTCTTCTGGAAAGTAACAGAATTTAGTAACACACTTTTCTTGACCTGAGGATTTGCCCTTACCACAAAATTGTTTTTGAAACTTGAGTATTTACAATGGCTTTTTACCAGTTCTTTTATCTTCTACCAGTTCCTCTCCAATTTACTATGGACTGAATTCAGACTAATTTGTTAAGAGCAAACAAAACAAAACAAAACAAAACAGTTATTACCTCATTCTAGCCTCAAAGCATCTGCCTTTTCAATGCAATCAAAATTAAATGCAATCAAAATTAAATGCACAATTCTAATTTTGATGACTTTAGTCCCTGCTTAGCTGTTATATTAGGCTGTTCTTGTATTGCTAGGAAGAAATATCTGAGACTGGATATTATAAAAATGTTTAATTGACTCACAGTTCTGCAGGCTGTACAGGAAGCACAGCGGCATCTTCTTCTGGAGAGGCCTCAGGGAGCTTTTACTCATGACAGAAGGCAAAGCAGGAGCAGGCACTTCACATGGTGAAAGCAGGAACAAGAGAGAGAGAGTGTGTTGGGGTAGGTGCACTACCATGGAGACAGCACCAAGCCACGCCTTAAGGATTCGACCCCATGATCCAAACACTTCCCACCAAGCTCCACCTTCAGCACTGGGGATCTGGTTTCAACATGAGATTTGGGCGGGACATCCAAACTATATCATCTGTCTCCCTCATCCAAGACCATGTGATCCGTAGCTCACTTTTGTCTAGCAACAGATTAAATACGGCATTTTCTGTGTGATATCTTTGTTGAGGTCTTTGCAGATGCTGTTTCTTTGTCCTGAAACTTTCTTCATCTGCTCTTTCAAAATGAGTGACTCTTCATCCTCGAAGTCTATGCTTATATATTGCTTTTCAGAGGAATCTTTTCTGAACTGGGCATTCTGCCTTCAACCAACTATTTTCTATTATAGTTTCCTGTTTGTGAGTTAATAGTCCTTTTCAAAATTTGACTACTCATTTACCTTCTTGGGTTATTTGAAATTATCTCCTCTTCACTAGATTCTATAGAAGCATAGCCATGCCTGCCCTCTTTACTGTTTCTCTACTGACTTGTTGCAATGAATATTCTCAGTAAACATGGAAATAAACCAGTTATTCAGATATCCTACCTTGGTGCTTGCTTAGATAACTCCACACTGTGATGCCTAATGACCTACATAGGGCTTTCTAGCAAGGAGTGACTTTCTTTATGCTACGTGTAATAATGATCCATCAACTTAAACATATAGTTATATTTCCAGCAGACGGTTTCTTGAAACTAATGTCCAGGGTGTAGTTATTCAAAAAAGCAAACTCTTCTCTTGATTTCTGCCATACATTGGTACTCTTTCTCTCTCCCTTTTTTATTTTATTATTTTTTTTTGAGACGGAGTCTCACTCTTTCACCCAGGCTGTGGTGCCATCCCGGCACACCCTGCAACCCATTGCCTCCCAGATTCAAGCGATTCTCCTGCCTCAGCCTCCCTAGTAGCTGGAATTACAGGTATGTGCCACCATGCCTGACTGATTTTTTGTATTTTTAGTGGAGACTGGATTTCACCATGTTGTTCAGGCTGGTCTCAAACTCCTGACCCCTAGTGATCCATCTGCCTCAGCCTCCTAAAGTGCTGGGATTACAGGCGTGAGCCACCCCGCTCGGCCTACTCTTTTATTTCTATTTTGTCTTTCCTTTCTCAAGAAAGAAAACAAACCAAAACCAAAACAGTTTGGAAGACTTTATAGTATTCATCCATACAAAAGAACAAGATCATGTCCTTTGCAGGAACATGGGTGGAGCTGGAGACCATTATCCTCAGCTCCACCCATCCTCAGCTCCCACTAACGCAGGAACAGAAAAACAAATGCAGCATGTTCTTATTTATAAATGTGAGCCAAATGATAAGAACACATGGACTCATAGAGGAGAACACCACACACTCGGACCTACCTGAGAGTAGTGGGTGGGAAAAGGGAGAGGTTCAGGAAAAGTAACTAATGGGTACTAAGCTTAATACCTGGGTGACAACATAACCTGTACAACAAATCCCCATGACACGAGTTTACCTGTATAACAAACCTGCACGTGTACTCCTGAACTTAAACTAAAAGTTAACAAAAGGCCAGGTGCAGTGTTTCACGCACGTAATCCCAGCACTTTGGGAGGCTGACACGGGTGGATCACCTGAGGTCAGGAGTTCAAGACCAGCCCGACCAACTAAATACAAAAAATTAGCTAGATGTGGTGGCATGTAATCCCAGCTCCTCTGGAGGCCAAGGCAGGAGAATCGCTTGAATCCAGAAGGCAGAGGTTGCACTGAGCCGAGATTGTGCCACTGCACTCCAGCCTGGGCAATAAGAGTGAAACTCTGTCTCAAAAAAAAAAAAAACAAAAAGTTAACAAAACGGGCTTCTCTAGTTCTAAAGCACCAACACAGAGGTGATCAAAATACTCTAAGAAGCACTGGGAAACATTGAGGGGATGGTTCAAACATCAGAGCTAAGGCCTAATTTCCCAACAGTCATTATTTCTGTGGTATTCGGCATATTAGAGACGTATAGGTTCCTCACCTAATCCTTGTTTTGTCATTTTATTTTTAATACATATGAAAGTCATAATAACAAAAAAAATTCATACATCAGCAGCTCAGCTAGAAATAAAAGTCTCAATCTACTGGAAGCCCCTGTGAACTTGTATCAAATTCCTTTCTCTCTTCATAGAGGAAATAATGACTCCTAAAATGTGGTAATGAACAAATATCTCTAATTGTTTAAAATTTAGTATATGTGCAAGTCTCCACAGACACAATTTAATCATGATCATATATTTTTAGAAGTTAAAAACGTGTCTATCATCAGGGCGTGGTGGTTCATGCCTGTAATCCCAGCACTTTGGGAGGCCTAAGCGGGTGGATCACCTGAGGTCAGGCGTTCGAGACCATCCTGGCCAACATGGTGAAACCCTGTCTCTACTAAAAATACAAAAGTTAGCCAGGCGTGGTGGAGGGCGCCTGTAATCCGAGCTACTCAGGAGGCTGAGGCAGGAGAATTGCTTGAACCCGGGAGGCGGAGGTTGCAGTGAGCCAAGATCACACCACTGCACTCCAGCCTGGACAACAGAGCAAAAACTCCGACTCAAAAAAAAAGTGTCTATCTACCTTCTGCTTTATTTTGTTTTATATGACATTGATGATGTCCATCTATGTTGGCGCATATAATTCTTATCAATTATTTCAAATGCTGTTTAGCATTGTACTATATAAAAATATCAAAACACAGCTCCCTTTTGTTCATTATATTGCCATTTAGTTTTTTTCTCATTTTTTGCTATTTCAACAAAAAGCTGCTATGAATGTGTATGTGTGTATATATATATTAAATGTGTATATATATAAATGTATATATATATATATATACACATATATATGTCAGAGTTTCTCTAGGATATAAACCCAGGAACAAAATTTAAAAATCATAGGGTGTATTGGATCTTACATCACTGCAGACCCTCTCAGCATTACCTCTTGTTCCAGTCAGAGCCTTGGTTACTATTTTTATGTAGACTTTGGTCAGTTTCATAAAGATGGAAGTGATAGTATGTGGCTTCAGACTAGAGCAATAATTCACTTTCTGCTGTGGGATTTCTCAGACAATGTTGTGTGGATTGTTGTAGGCATTTTGCTTGGTACTCATAAATGCACTGTCTAGACACATTGAGAAGTTAGCATCCATGAGGCTATGCTTGAAAAATGGAACTCCTAGAGCTGATGGATACATATTTCCCCCGTTGTTTCACTTCAGTGAATGGTCATATAGTATTACATCACCTAACTTAATAATGTGTTCTAGATTTTACTCTCTCTCCCTATAGCACCCATCCTGTTTCTTATTCTTACTCCACAATACACTCCCAACTTAAACACACAGTCTCTTCTTTAGGTGTTGGGGGTTGGGAGTTATTACAAGATGACATGGTGTATGCATTTATTTCTTTGTCTACATTGATCGCACTGATTTACAGTCTCACCAGCAGTTCATAAAATCCTTCCTTGCAGCTAAGATATGGGCACAAGACTAAAATTTATATCTTTAGCTGATATCTCATTCCTGAACACTCATCTCATTTGCAACTGCCTTGAATATCAAATAGGCCTCTCAACCTTAGTAAGTAAAACAGAATTCTTTATCTGCATCCTGCCAATCCTGCTTCTTTCCCAGTAATTTTTCACTCAGTAATTTGAGCCATTATTAATCTATTTTCTAAAGCTTCAAAACATGGAGTCATTACCAGCTGTTTTATATACACCATTCCAAGCCATTAGAAAGTCAATTCCATTTCACCTGGAAGTTTATTGCAAATTTGACAATTGTCTCTTACATGAACTACTAAAATAGCTTCTCAGCAGCATCTGTGTGCTGCCATTATCCATCCTTCCTCCAGTCTCTTCCCCACCAGGCAATGGAAGTCACCTCTGGCAATATAATGCATTTCACATTAGTTTCATTTTTCCAGCTGAAAATCTCAAAAGTATTTCATTTACATGCCTAATAAAAGCTAAAGATATAATCTTGCTCAGAACTATAAGCTGGCTTCTCCACCTACCATTATCCTTTGCCTTGATTACTCTGCTCTATATCATCATCTTGCATACCCTAACACATGACTTTTATACTCATTGCTCCATCTGTTATAAACATACTGACAAATAATGTTTCCTCTTTAGCAGTGATTTCCTGATCTAATCAATATTTTGGTATCATATAAACTCATTGGATTATTAGTGATTATCACTAACCTGCTATCATACAATACACATTTAATTTCTTTTCTCCTTGTTTATTGTCTAAACTGCTAGGTAGAAGGGCACTTTATCTATTCTTATCACAAATGTAGGACAACGGCTAGCACAAGGTTAGGAACTTACACGGTATTCAATTAATTGTTGTTTGATAATTGATTAAAAACTCTAGAACCTTGGGTTCCATTCTTATGATGACAATAATATAATGCTAGGGATGCCAAGTGAATAGCAAGTTTAACCAAGTTATCCTGTATGGGGAGCCACAGTTACTTAAAATGTCTGATAATCCACAGTCCTGGTGATGATGTGGAATATCACTCTCTTAATCAATGCAAACAATTTATTTAATAGTCATAGTGCTAAAGATGGCATGCCCTCCAAATGAGCAATTGCACTCTTTGTTATGCATTTATATGAATATGTATATAGGAATAGTCATGATAAAACTACTAATTATTATAAAATTTTTGGAAAAAGCATAACTATTAAAAATGAAATTGGTAACTTAAGACTACTCAATACATCAATAAAAATGAATGAACTATGCAAAAACATGGATGAATTTCAAAAACGAAATTTATTTTCATTATTTATTAAGAAAGAAAATTTGCACTGTTTCCAAGTCTAATACCAAACAGAACTAAATGGTATTTCTGGATAAACAAATTAGAAAATAAAATTATAAAAAATGCAAGAAAAAAATTACCACAAAAGTTAGGATAGAAGTTACATTAAGAGATGGCATGGTCTTATACAAAGAAAACCCTAAAGACTCCGAAAGACTCCTAGACTTGACAAATGACTGCAATAAAGTTTCAGAATACAAAGTCAATGTCCAGTAGTCAGTAGTATTTCTATATAGCAATAATATTCAAGCTGAGAACAAAATCAAGAACTCAATCTCATTTACAATAGCCACACACACACACACACACACACACACACACACACACACATAACTGAGAAATACGTTTAACCAAGGAGGTAAAATATTTCTACAATAAGAACTACAAAAGATGGGTGGAAGAAACCTGAAATAAAACAAACTAATGGAAAAATATCCCATGTTCATGGGTTAAAAAAAATTAAAAATGACCATGGTGTCCAAAGCAATCTAAAGATTCAATGCAATTTCTATCAAACTACCAATGTCATTTTTCACAGAATTAGAAAACAGCAATCCCAAAGTGTATATGAAATCCTGAATTGAAAAAATGACCCGGATAGCCAAAGCAATTCTAAGCAAAAAGAACAAAGCTGGAGTCAGCACTTCACCCCATTTCAAATTATACTACAAACCTATAGTAACAAGAACAGCATAGTACCAATACAAAAACAGATACATAGTTTAATAAAATTAAATAGAGAACCAAGAAATAAAGCCACATACCTTCAACCAACTAATCTTCAACAAAGCATGCACAAATAAACAATGTGGAAAGGATACCTTTTTCAATAAATTGTACTAGAAAAATTGGATATCCATATACACAAGAATAAAACTGGGTTCCTATATCTCACCATATATAAAAATTAAGATTGATTAAATACTCAAATGTAAAAACCTGTAAAATTCCTAGAAGAAAACCTAGGAAAACTTTACTGAATATCAGCCTTGACAAAGAATTTATGACTAAGTCATCAGAAGCAAATGAAACAAAAATAATAATAGGCAAATGGGACCTAAGTAAAGTAAAAATCTTCTGCACAGCAAAGGAAATAATCAACAGAGTAAACAGGCAACCTACAGAACAGGAGAAAATATTCACAAATTATGCATCTAACGAAGTACTAATATCCAGAATCTACATGGAACTCAATAAATAAATAAATAAACACATTATGTCATTACAAAGTAGGCAAATGACATAAACAGACATTTATCAAAAGAAGACATGCAAGTTGCCAACAAACATTAAAAAATACTCAAGGTCACTGATGATCATAGAAATGTAAATCAATATTGAAGTGTGTATTAGTCTGTTCTCATGCTGCTATGAAGAAATACCCGAGACTGGGTAATTTATAAGGAAAAGAACTTTAATGGACTAACAGTTCCATACAGCTGGGTAACATTCAGGAAACTTACAATCATGGTGGAAGGGGAAGCAATCAAGTCCTTCTTCACATGGCAGCAGGAAGGAGAAGAATGAGAGCCGAGCAAATGTGGAATCCCCTTATAAAACCATCAGATCTTGTGAGACTCACTCACTATCACAAGAACAGCACGGAGGGTAACCGCCCTCATGATTCAATTACCTCCCACCAGGTGCCTCCCATGACACATGGGGATTATGAGAACTAAAATTCAAAATGAGATCTGGGTGGGGACACAGCCAAACCACATCAAAAAGTGATTCATTTGACATGGTCTTCCCTATCTTCTCTCATTTAGGGTAACATTATTTCCTTGAATCAAAAGGGTATCCCTGTAGACTTTGAGTTCATCTTGACATCTTTGAACCATGGATTATCAATTTGCAAATGTTATTTGTTGAATTATTGAGCTATATTCCTTGAAATGCTTTTAAGAATGATATTTTCATTAAAATAAATGAGGGACTCGAATCCTGATATTTAGGAAGATTTCTCAACATCATCACATACAATTATGAATTATTATGGACACAACAGTGGTAGTTTGGATTTTTATTGTGGTTAAACTTAGAAAGTACAAAGTATTCATAAATCTACATTTTAATATTTTATAATTCAAATGAATTTTAAGTAACTATTTTGATATTCTATAAATAAAAATGTCACCTATACTATATAAGGATTCACTCACTTCTCTCTGCATTCTCATCAATACCTGATGTGTTGTGACTTTTAAAAAATAGCCATTCTGACTAGTATAAGGTGACATTTCATTGTGGTTTTAATTTTTATTTCTCTGATGATGAGACTGAGCATTATTTCATATGTTTGCTGTCCACTTGTATGTCTTCTTTTGAGAAATGCCTGTTTATGTATTTTGTCCATTTTTTAATGGGGTTATCTATTTTGTTGTTGTTGTTGAGTTGTTTGAATTTCTTGTCGATTCTGGATATTAGTACTTAGTTGGATGCATAGTTTGCAAATATTTTCTCACATTCTTCAGGTTATCTGTTTTCTCAGTTATTTCTTTTGCTGTGCAGAAACTTTTTTGTTTAATTGAGTCCCATTTGTCTACTTTTGTTTTTGCTAAATTTGCTTTTGAGGTCTTAGTCACAAATTTTTTGCCAAGGCCAATGTCTAGAAGAGTTTTTCCAGGTATTCTATGAGTACTTTTTATATCTTCAGGTATTATATTTAATTCTTTAATTCATCCTGAGTTAATTTTGTGGATGGCAACAGATAGGGGCCCAGTTTTATTCCTCTGCATGTGGCTTTCCAATTTTCCCTGCACTATTTATTGAAGGGGATATCCTTTTCCCAGTGTATTTTTTTTCAATGTTGTCAAACATCCATTGACTGTAGGTAGGTCCCTTTATAAATATCCACTAATAAAGTGACAAAGTGCCTTTGTCACTTTATTCCTGGAATTTCTATTTTGCTCTATTGAGTATTGTGTCCATTTTTATATCAGTATCATATTGTTTTTGTTACTATAGCCTTATAGTATAATTAGAAGGAATGTAAATTTGTCCCACCTCTATTAAAACAGTATGAAAATTTTTTCAAGTATTAAAGAGCCACAATTCACTCTATCAATCCTATACTGGGTGTATACCCAAAAGAAAAAATATCATTATACCAAAAAAGATATTTGCACTCATTTATTTATAGCAGCAATATTCATAGTACCAAAGATATTGAATCAACATGTGACCATCAACAAATAACTGGATAAAGAAAATGATGTGATATACATATATACATATATACACACACATACACGCACAATGAATACTACACAGCTATAAAAAATAAATCATTTCACTTGCAGCAATATGGAAGGATAATTTTACACTTTATGTCTTAGTCTGTTTTGTGCTGCTGTAACAAAATACCTGAGACTGGGTAATTTATAAAAAATAGAAAATTATTTTCTGATAGTTCTGTAGGCAAGGAAGTCGATGATCAAGATACCAGCATGTAATGAGGGCCTTCTGTTGCACTCTCAGATAGCATTAGTTTAAATGGCAAGAGAAAGGCAGAACTCTATTTGAGAGGGCTGTTGCAACCTTACAGCATGATACATTTTGTGAAATGTGGTTTTGAACATTTTTATTAAAAATGTAGGCATCAAAATCTCTACCATTTGTGTCATGTTATAATAATAACTATAAAACTGCATTATTCAGAATATGTAACAATAAAAATTAATATTAAAAAGTTTTAAAATGTATTTGCTTTTTCATATATCATTTCTATTGATCATAACAACCAGATATGATAACCAGGGCCAGATATTTCTACTGTTATCATTAGAAATCAAAGAAAACTAACATATTGGATGGTTTTAAAAATTATAAAAATTGTAAGTGTACATATAAATATTAACTTGTAAGTCATCCTGCAAGTATTATAATCAAATTTCATTTTCAAATCGTGATGAATCTAACATGATACCTAAGTTTGTACATTGAAAAATGTGTATACATGTGCACACACTTTTAATTTAGATTTTTCTCATTCTGAGTGATAATGCAGCAAAATTTAAAGAGATTACACTATAATTATGTTTAAAACCTTACTTGCACTTTTGAAACAAATCACAGGTTAAGTCATGATAACAGGACAAAATATACTTAGCTGCTGAATATAAACAAAGTATACAGAAGCGTAAATCTTGCGAGCACAAAAGTGTTAAAAACAGCAAGATCTAGAGGCTCAAGTACAAGAGAGATATATTATACCAAGAGCAGTAATCTCAAAAATTTATATCCCAAATGTGTAGACTTGATCTTATTTTCAGTCAGTGTGTTCTGTATGGAAGATGAACATGCTCCTGACAATGGAGTATGATTTAGAAAACTATATCCTGCACAGAGGGATATGTGATTATATACTGCACTTCTGTGCAAAATTTTAAACAGAATTTAATCAATCACTTTAAAACCTAGATGTATTTGTGGAACAATGACATCACTTTGAAATTATGTGTAGTTTGTAAATGCACAAAATTAATAATGTATTTTGTGTAAATGGATTACTTTGGAAAGAAACTCATAAGAACTACATTATCAGACAAAACATTCTTTGAAAATGTGTGTGCTACAAGGCAATTTGCCATTTCATTTTAATAGAATGTTCCATGCTGAAAATGTCTAACTGCTCAGAAGTGGAATAGGAGTGTAAATTTATTATCTGAGAAAAGAAAATTAATTGACACAGGCCAAAAATGTAATGGAATTAGACCCATGTGCCTTAGTGAGAA